>NC_000005.10:164246172-164549202 GCF_000001405.40 Homo sapiens | reverse complement strand
AAAACCACATGATTATCTCAATATATGCAGAAAAGGTCTTTGACAAAATTCAACAGCCCTTCATGCTAAAAACTCTCAATAAACTAGGTATTGATGGGACATATCTCAAAATAATAAGAGCTATTTATGACAAACCCACAGCCAATATCATACTGAATGGGCAAAAACTGGAAGCATTCACTTTGAAAACGGGCACAAGACAGGGATGCCCTCTCTCACCAATCCTATTCAACATAGTGTTGGAAATTCTGGCCAGGGCAATCAGGCAGGAGAAAGAAATAAAAGGTATTCATTTAGGAAAACAGGGAGTCAAATTGTCCCTGTTTGCAGATGACATGATTGTATATTTAGAAAACCCCATCTTCTCAGCCCAAAATCACCTTAACCTGATAAGCCACTTCAGCAAAGTCTCAGGATACAAAATCAATGGGCAAAAATCACAAGCATTCCTATACACCAATAAAAGACAAACAGAGAGCCAAATCTTGAATGAATTCCCATTCAAAATTGCTTCAAAGAGAATAAAATACCTAGGAATCCAACTTACAAGGATGTGAAGGACCTCTTCAAGGAGAACTACAAACCACTGCTCAATGAAATAAAAGAGGATACAAACAAATGGAAGAACATTTCATGTTCATGGATAGGAGAATCAATATCATGAAAATGGCCATACTGCCCAAGGTAATTTATAGATTCAATGCCATCCCCATCAAGCTACCAATGACTTTCTTCACAGAATTGGAAAAAACCACTTTAAAGTTCATATGGAACCAAAAAAGAGCCCGCATTGCCAAGACAATCCTAAGCCAAAATAACAAAGCTGGAGGCATCACACTACCTGACTTCAAACTATACTACAAGGCTACAGTAACCAAAACAGCGTGGTACTGGTACCAAAACAGAGATATAGACCCAAGGAACAGAACAGAGCCCTCAGAAGTAACACCACACATCTACAACCATCTGATCTTTGACAAACCTGACAGAAACAAGAAATGGGGAAAGGATTCCCTATTTAATAAATGGTGCTGGGAAAACTGGCTAGCCATATGTAGAAAGCTGAAACTGGATCCCTTCCTTACACCTTCTACAAAAACTAATTCAAGATGGATTAAAGACTTAAATGTTGGACCTTAAACCATAAAAACCCTAGAAGAAAACCTAAGCATTACTATTCAGGACATAGGCATGGGCAAGGACTTCATGTCTAAAACACCAAAAGCAATGGCAACAAAAGCCAAAATTGACAAATGGGGTCTAATTAAACTAAAGAGCTTCTGCACAGCAAAAGAAACTACCGTCAGAGTGAACAGGCAACCTACCTACAGAATGGGAGAAAATTTTTACAATCTACCCATCTGACAAAGGGCTAATATCCAGAATCCACAAAGAACTTAATCAAATTTACAAGAAAAAATCAAACAACCCCATCAAAAAGTGGGTGAAGGATATGAACAGATACTTCTCAAAAGAAAACATTTATGCAGCCGACAGACACATGAAAAAATGCTCATCATCACTGGCCATCAGAGAAATGCAAATCAAAACCCACAATGAGATACCGTCTCACACCAGTTATAATGGCGATCATTAAAACGTCAGGAAACAACAGGTGCTGGAGACGATGTGGAGAAATACAAAAACTTTTACACTGTTGGTGGGACTGTAAACTAGTTCAACCATTGTTCAACCACAGTATTATAAATCATGCTGCTATAAAGACGCATGCACATGTATGTTTATTGCGGCACTATTCACAATAGCAAAGACTTGGAACCAACCCAAATGTCCATCAATGATAGACTGGATTAAGAAAATGTGGCACATATACACCATGGAATACTCTGCAGCCATAAAAAAGGATGAGTCCATGCCCTTTGTAGGGACATGGATGAAGCTGGAAACCATCATTCTGAGCAAACTATCATGAGGACAGAAAACCAAACACCACATGTTCTCACTCAAAGGTGGGAATTGAACAATGAGAACACTTGGTCACAGGGTGGGGAACATCACACACCAGAGCCTGTTGTGGGGTGGGGTGAGGGGGAAGGGATAGCATTAGGAGATAAACCTAATGTAAATGACGAGTTAATGGGTGCAGCACACCAACATGGCACATGTATATATATGTAACAAACCTGCACGTTGTGCACATGTAACCTAGAACTTAAAGTATAATTTAAAAAAAGAATATATCACCATTGCTAATCAACACATGATTGTATTAGTATCTCCAAACTAGTTACTCTTCTAGTGCTATTCAATTATTTCGGTGTTATATTTTTGATCACCTGCTAAATATATGTGAAAGATGCTGCCTCATGAACCTTGGAAATTTCTTGGCCTACCATATCAAATTCTTTGCTTTATTTGAAAAGGATAAAATAAATAAATTATCTCTAGAAGAGCATAGTACTCTAAGACTTTGACCTTCTTATTTCTGAAAGGTTATTTTAATATTTATTTCATAACAAGGGGAGGAAATTAAAGTATAATACATTATGCAGTCTTTATATCTCACACAAAATCATGAGAAATTTTGCATTAATGTTTCTTGTAATATATTTATTTGAAAATAGAGAAAACTATTTTAAAATTCATACTGAACCAAAGAAGAGCACAAATAACCAAGCCAATTCTAAGCAAAAAGAACAAAATTGGAGGCATCACACTATCCAACTTCAAACTATGCTACAGGGCTACAGTAACCAAAACAGCATGGTACTGGTGCAGAGCAGACACTTAGACCAATGGAACAGATAAAGAACCCAGAAATAAAACTGTTCACTTAACAACTCTCTGATTTTTGGCAAGCCTGACAAAAACAAGCAATGGGAAAAGGATTCCCTATTCAACAAATGGTGCTGGGATAACTGGCTAGCAATATGCAGAAAATTGTAACTGGACCTCTTATTTATACTTTAACTCAAGATGGAGTAAAGACTTTAGTGTAAAATCCAAAACTATAAAAACCCCCTGGAAGACTACCTAGGGAATACCATTCAGGACATAGACATGGCTAATGCTTTCACGACAGAGACACCAAAAGCAATTGCAACAAAAGCAAAAACTGACAAATGGGATCTAACTACACTAAAGAGCTTCTACACAGCCAAAGAAACTATCAACAGAAAAAAAAGACAATGTAGAGAGTGGGAGAAAATTTTTGCAAACTATGCATCAGACAAAGGTTTAATATCCAGCATCTACAAGGAGATTAAACAAATTAGAAAAACACCCCATTAAAAAGTGGGCAAAATACATGAACAGAAACTTGTCAAAAGACATACATGCGGCCAACAAGCGTATGAAAAAAAGGTCAACATCACTGAACATTAGATAAATGCAAATCAAAACTACAATGAGATACTGTCTCACACAAGTCAGAAAGCTATTACTAAAAATCAAAAAATAATAGACGCTGGTGAGGTTGTGGAGAAAAAGGAATGCTTTTACACTGTCGGTGGGAATGTAAATTGGTTCATCCATTGTGTAAGATAGTGTAGCGATTCCTCAAAGACCCAAAGTTAGGAATATCATTAAACCCAGCAATCCCATTACTGGGTATATACCCAAAGGAATATAAATCATTCTATTATAAAGACGCATGCACATGTATATTCATCACAGCACTATTCACAATAGGAAAGACTTGGAACCAACCCAAATGCCCATCAAGGCTAGACTGGATAAAGAAAATGTGGTACAAATACACCATGGAATACTCTGCAGCCATAAAAAGAATGAGATTGTGTCCTTTGCAGAAACATGGATGGAGCTGGAGGCCATTATTCTTAGCAAACTAGTGCAGGAACAGAAAACAAGATACCACATGTTGTCACTTATAAATGCAAGCTAAATGATAAGAACACATCAACACATGGAGGGGAACAACACACACTGGGGCCTATTGGAGGATGGAGGTTGGAAGGAGGGAGAGGATCATAAAAAATAAATAATGGATACTAGGATAATGCCTGTGTGATAAAATAATTGGTACAGCAAACCCCCATGAAACACATTTACTTATGTAACAAACCTTCACAACCTGCACATGTACCCCTGAACTTAAAATAAAAGGAAAAAAAAGTAATCTGATCTTTAATCCAAAGAAAAAAATAATATACAGGAAGAGACCACCTCTCAATGCCCCTAAGAAGAGAGGAAATATGTGAGATAGACAGCATTTTGTTAACTATCTTGGGCATAAAGAGTGTGTCAGGTCATTTTGTTCTGTGTATCTAATATCCAGACCATGCCCACATACTGCAGGATCTGGCCAGCAGCCTGCAATGCAATGGGGCTCTTTCTTTGTCCCAGGCAGATCGGCAGGTCGAGAAATAATAGACACACACAAGATAGTGAAAGCTGGGTCCAGGGGGGTCACTGCCTTCTGGTCCCGCGGTGCCACCAATGCACTGGATATGCCAGCATTTATTATTAAGTTTAGTGAGGGCAGGGATAGGTTAGTGAGGGATTTAGGGTCATTTGATTATGAAGTGAGACGGTTACATGGGGATGAAGTAATTCTTTAACATAACCTCTGTATGCAGAAGTACACTATACAGAGATAAGAATTTACAATATAGTGTGTGCATCAGTTTTTCTAACAGAGCCTTAAAACAGAAACAGTCTTTCCATAGCAGATATTAATCAGCAGTAACAGTTGCAGCAAAAGCTGGTTACAAACATTCCATAGAAACAGGATGTGAAGCTAGACAACCGGTTAAACCAAAAATTCTCAGAAGGGAGTATGCCTTAACCCTAAAGAGGCCTAGAAGAGCCGTGGCAAGATGAGGGCATTTATAGTCCTAACTTATCCATATGGACAGGTGCCCCTCATGCATCCGTTTATAGGCTCTTCACAAGGGTCGCATTCCATTCCCAGAGCCATGAACATCTGCTTTTCTGGGATAGGAATCTTGGTGATGTGAAACCTCCCTGACCGCACATCCATTCATAGGCTCTCTGCAGGGGGAAGCACGTCACACGCTGTTGGCTCATTCTGGCAGTCCAACCTGGCATTGTCTTTACACAATCCTGCATGCAATTTTGTATTTACAATACTCAGGAGCATTTCATCTTTTATTCTGTAGTGATAGTTTCAGGGGTTCTCCCTACACCCACAGAGCTTGATTAGTAGAGAAATTTTGTTGTGAATGACACATCTAATAAGAAAATGGCAGGTGGTGGTAAACCCAAATCAGTAGCATTTGAACTTTCAAAACATTTTCATTAACACAGATGGGGAAAAAATGGATATATGGTGACTGCTTTTCATTAATATCTACAATATTTAAAAACTTTGTTAAAATACTGATGGATGTCTATCTCTTGAGAGTCTGACTTTTATTCACTCAGACACCTAATAAAAATTTTCATTTATTAATGTAGTACTTGGCAAGAAGAAGGGAGTCTTTCCTAACCTTCAGTCAATAATATTCATAAAAGAAAATATTATAGCCATCTTACATTAGTGTTAGATCTGATGAGTCTGCAAATTGGTTAAAATATTCATATTAAATTCACAGCAAAAGAAATATTGTTGTTTTACTCTTTATCTTTTAACTGAAGGTTGAAATGATTGCTCCCTAAGTTGTTCATGAATCATCTTTACAGACATGTAGAAGAATATACATATTCAAGTCTTTATTAAATAAGCTCATCATTTCTATCTCCAATTTGAAAATTATTACCATGGAGCTAAAAATTATATTGCATCATATTGTCCTAAATCTTTTTCAACCACTTATTCAAAAGTTTGTAATATAACCATATTCAGGAAGTGAAATGTCATAAAAGATGTTTTGAAAACATTATTGCTTAAGGCAAACTTTCTGGAGTGATGAATTTTATTAAAATAAATATTAATTAAGGGATGCATTGTTCTTTATAATTGACCAATTCAAATTCTTTTACAGTAATCATTCATAAACTTGTGAGTTTGCAATAATCTGGCCAATTATGATTATGTAACAAATGATATAAAAGTTACTTCTGGCTATTTGGTTAGATTATAATTTAGCAATTATATGAATCACTAAATACATGTGATTAAAACTGTTGAAAAATTTTAACAAAAATGCCTCTGGATTAAATATATACATCATGTCACCCTCTAGCTCAACTATGTTCATATGTGTTTCAAAGAGATGAGGTTGATGTCCTTTAAATATTCATTAATTGGCTATAAAATACTATTCCTTATCCAATTTGATGTAGTTGCACTCTTTTATGTTAGCTTTAGATTTTTCCCTTTTGACATTCATTCATAATGTGCTTCAACTTTTGCTTTTGAGTCAGCATCCTCGTTGTTGAATAAGGTGTTTTACATCTCAGTTTACTGTGCTCCTGCATAATAGAAATCCATATAAAATATCAAAAACAAACATTTGTATTTTACATTCTTTTTGTAAATAAACAAACAGTTTATACCACTTAAAGAACATGCTTATTCTGAACTAATGTTATCAACTTTAATTTCATTTCTTTTTTAAGTGTCTCAGTAATTTGTTTCTCAAAAATCATTTAAGGCCGGGCAAGGTGGCTCACGCCTGTAATCCCAGCACGTTGGGAGGGCGAGGAGGGTGGATTACCTGAGGTCAGGAGTTCAAGACCAGCCTGGCCAACATGGTGAAAACCCATCTCTACTTAAAATATAAAAATTAGCTGGGCGTGGTGGTGTGCACCTGTAATCCTAGCTACTCGGGAGGCTGAGGCAGGAGAACGGCTTGATCCTGGGAGGTGGAGGTTGCAGTGAGCCAAGATCATGCCACTGCACTCCAGCCTGGGCAACAGAGTGAGACTCTGTCTAAAAAATAAATAAATAAATAATCATGTAAACTCCTCACTAAGCTGCAAAACTCTCAAAGGAGGCTCTGTAACTGATGCCCCCCTAGCCCAGGCTAACATACATTACGCCTTTTTTTTTTTGAGTATACCTTGTTATATCTGCAATCCACTTCTCCGCTATGCATGGGCGTCACTTTCTCCAATCTTCATTACCATTTGGGTGGAGGATATCGGAATTCAGTGGTTTCTCTAATTGTAGGATGGAGTATTTGGAGCACTGATGCTGAATTAAGTTTGGTGACACATAGTGAGGCATGGTGGAGAAAGGAACAAATCTTAAAGACCAGAAACAGAAACTGATAAGGTGACTGAGCTTTAGGTATTAACCATGTCAACTATAATTTATAAGGTATAGAGAAAGACACTTACACATACATACATGGAGATGAAAGACATTCTGTAAAAGTATTTTATTTTATTCTATTGAGACAGGGTCTTGCTATGTTTCCCAGGCTGATCTCGATCTCCTGGGCTCAAGGGATCCTCCTGCCTCGGCCGCCCAAAGTGCTCGGATTACAGGCATGAGCCGCTGTGCCCAGCCCTGTAAAAGTATCTTATAATTTGTTTCTCCATCTTCACATCTCTAATTTTAAAAACATTTTTCTTTTACATTTCTATGTGAGATGAGACATGTTACTAAAGTTTATAGCTCTAGTTTCATAATTTTAAATTCACCATCAATCCCACAAATCTTGATGTATATAATCTTTAGTTATGATAAGATTTGTGTTCATAGGAAAAACACATTTGCAAAAAAAATGAGTAAAAGCTATCTGAATAATTTTTTGACATACGACAAAATGTTAGAAATTAAATACTATGTTAGAAATAATTAACAGAAAGAATCTAATGAGAAAAAAGAATGGATATAACTCTGTACTGAATTATTTTTAATATCAGTAAGTAGTTAAAACAAAAACAAAACACCATGAACTCTGGTCTCAGGTAGAATTGGGGTAGCATTTTGCTTTTCTATCCCCTAGTCTCATGGCCTTTCACAGGCAACTTTTTAATGTTCTGATTAAACACAAGTATAATGAACCTATCTCAGAATGTCATGAAATAATACATGAAAAAGGAAGCACCTTACTTCATGTACAGGTGTAATTTCAATAAATGTTAGCTATAACTATAATGGATAGTCTGGACTTCGGAAATGATTTACAAATATTTAGAACTGAATTAAATTGCTTTACACTCAAGCATTTAGGCAGATATTTGAAATATGTACTATAAAAAAATTAAAGATTCTCCCTTCTTCCTCACATAATCTTTCTCTACAGAATTTCTTATTTAAAGATCTGCTGCAATTATTTAGGAGTCAAATTCATCCTGCTTATTCTGCTAATTGAAATGCTGTATTTGATTATTATCTCCAGATATGAACCATAGTCAATGTATAAGAACTAACATTAGTTGATTGTTGATTGGCTACATTTAAAATGTGGTCCCAAATGGGAAGACTGCCTTTCATGCTTTGAAGTGCACATTTTCATATGCATAATACACTTATCACAGAGAAGTTAAAACAGACCAGGAAATAGCCCTGACTCTCAGCCACCAGCAATTTAATATTGACATCCCATGACAATAAGCTTTGGTGAATTAACAATGCAGTAGAAAACCTCTAGGACACCTGTCCAGCCCAATTATGGCTTTTAAGAAATTTCCCCTCTTCTCATTTACATCTACGGGTTTGGACTACATAAGCTCACCTACCTGGCCAAAACCAATTATGTGCAATAGATACTTAACCCACACTGGAGTAACCAAGTTTTCTTTTCAGATATTTTTGAGTTAGGTCATTGGGGTTCAATTCAGTTGGCTGATGGTGCTAAAAGCAGCAAAATTCCTGTTCTGAACAAGCAATCAAGCTCATTAGGGAAAAACAAAAATAAGAAACAAAGCGAAACCAAACCCAACAGAAAAGAAAAAAGAGAAACCCACTCTATGGTGACATAACAACAATAAGCAGAGACAGCAAACACCAGAGATTTGGAGTATGCTGCAGGGTTACTAATGACTTTCCATTTTCTGGTCTCAATCCTTCTCAATCTAAACCATGCTTTTTTAATTTAGGTAGTGGGAAACGTTCCTGTATCTATGAAACAAATGAGTTTTATTAATATAAAGCAACTGGCTATGTTAAACCCATTCTATGCCATAATTCTCATGAAATTCTTCTAGAGTTCCAGGGCTTTTACGATAGTATATTTTTCTACTCATATAAATGAATTTCATGAAGGAAAAGAATATGTGGGTTTGAGGATAACCCATGGAACCATCATCTATGAAGCATGTTTTAAATAGCTTCCTCAAACTTCGTTTTAATCATAAAACTTTCAGTGAGTTTCCTACTTTTAAAGTAAGATATATTAGAGACATATACTATTGATCTTACCAGAAATAGATGAATTTTTAAAATGAGACAGCTATGTGAGTCATAAAATACATGTTAAATAATTGATGGAGTTTATAAACTTTTACTTTCTAAGAAACAAACCACTTAATTAAGAAATCTGCAATTGAGACATTCTCCTGAAAACCAGATGACAATTTCTTCTTTGACTTATATCTAAAAAAAAGCAACTTTTTCATGACTTTATGCTTTATTTAACAAGATGAAACTGGAATCAAAATGTTTTCTCACTGCTTGAAATAACTTTTGTTATTTTTTATTGTTGTTAATTAATTATGCTCATATAACAAGGACCCCTCAGTCTATTTCATGTTGCCTATGCCAAGTGGTTCACATTACATGTTAAGAACATATATTTTGACCTTTATCACCCACATTACTTTATAGTATAAAACACAAATATTTTTTATTTTATTATTATTATACTTTAAGTTTTAGGGTACATGTGCACAATGTGCAGGTTTGTTACATATGTATACATGTGCCATGCTGGGGTGCTGCACACATTAACTCGTCATTTAGCATTAGGTATATCTCCTAATGCTATCCCTCCCCCTGCCCCCCACCCCACAACAGTCCCCAGTGTGTGATGTTCCCCTTCCTGTGTCCATGTGTTTTCATTGTTCAATTCCCACCTATGAGTGAGAACATGCAGTGTTTGCTTTTTTGTCCTTGCACTAGTTTGCTGAGAATGATGGTTTCTAGTTTCATCCATGTCCCTACAAAGGACATGAACTCAGCATTTTTTATGGCTGCATAGCATTCCATGGTGTACATGTGCCACATTTTCTTAATCCAGTCTATCGTTGTTGTTGGACATTTAGGTTGGTTCCAACTCTTTGCTATTGTGAATAGCGCCACAATAAACATATGTGTGCATGTGTCTTTATAGCAGCATGATTTATAATTCTTTGGGTATATAGCCAGTAATGGGATTGCTGGGTCAAATGGTATTTCTAGTTCTAGATCCCTGAGGAATCGCCACACTGACTTCCACAATGGTTGAACTAGTTTACAGTCCCACCAACAGTGTAAAAGTTTTTGTATTTCTCCACATCATCTCCAGCACCTGTTGTTTCCTGACTTTTTAATGATCGTCATTATAACCGGTGTGAGATGGTATCTCATTGTGGTTTTGATTTGCATTTCTCTGATGGCCAGTGATGAGCATTTTTTCATGTGTCTGTCGGCTGCATAAATGTCTTCTTTTGAGAAGTGTCTGTCCATATCCTTTGCCCACTTTTTGATGGGGTTGTTTGTTTTTTTCTTGTAAATTTGTTTGAGTTCATTGTAGATTCTGGATATTAGCCCTTTGTCAGATGAGTAGGTTGCAAAAATTTTCTCCCATTCTGTAGGTAGGTTGCCTGTTCACTCTGATGGTAGTTTCATTTGCTGTGCAGAAGCTCTTTAGTTTAATTAGATCCCATTTGTCAATTTTGGCTTTTGTTGCCATTGCTTTTGATGTTTTAGACATGAAGTCCTTGCCCATGCCTATGTCCTGAATGGTATTGCCTAGGTTTTCTTCTAGGGTTTTTATGGTTTTAGGTCTAACATTTAAGTCTTTAATCCATCTTGAATTAATTTTTGTATAAGGTGTAAGGAAGGGATCCTGTTTCAGCTTTCTACATAGAGCTAGCCAGTTTTCCCAGCACCATTTATTAAATAGGGAATCCTTTCCCCATTTCTTGTTTTTGTCAGGTTTGTTAAAGATCAGATAGTTGGAGATATGCGGCATTATTTCTGAGGGCTCTGTTCTGTTCCAATGGTCTCTATCTCTGTTTTGGTACCAGTACCATGCTGTTTTGGTTACTGTAGCCTTGTAGTATAGTTTGAAGTCAGGTAGCATGATGCCTCCAGCTTCGTTCTTTTGGCTTAGGATTGACTTGGCGATGCGGGCTCTTTTTGTGGTTCCATGTGAACTTTAAAGTAGTTTTTTTCCAATTCTGTGAAGAAAGTCATTGGTAGCTTGATGGGGATGGCATTGAATCTATAAATTACCTTGGGCACTATGGCTATTTTCACGATATTGATTCTTCCTACCCATGAGCATGGAATGTTCTTCCATTTGTTTGTATCCTCTTTTATTTCATTGAGCAGTGGTTTGTAGTTCTCCTTGAAGAGGTCCTTCACATCCCTTGTAAGTTGGATTCCTAGGTATTTTATTCTCTTTGAAGCAATTGTGAATGGGAGTTCACTCATGATTTGGCTCTCTGTTTGTCTGTTATTGGTGTATAGGAATGCTTGTGATTTTTGTACATTGATTTTGTATCCTGAGACTTTGCTGAAATTGCTTATCAGCTTGAGGAGATTTTGGGCTGAGAAGATGGGGTTTTCTAGATATACAATCATGTCACCTGCAAACAGGGACAATTTGACTTCTTCTTTTCCTAATTGAATACCCTTTATTTACTTCTCCTGCCTGATTGCCCTGGCCAGAACTTCCAACACTATGTTGAATAGGAGTGGTGAGAGAGGGCATCCCTGTCTTGTGCCCATTTCCAAACGGAATGCTTCCAGTTTTTGCCCATTCAGTATGATATTGGCTATGGGTTTGTCATAGATAGCTGTTATTATTTTGAGATACGACCCATCAGTATCTAATTTATTGAGAGTTTTTAGCATGAACGGTTGTTGAATTTTGTCAAAGGTCTTTTCTGCATCTGTTGAGATAATCAAGTGGTTTTTGTCCTTGGTTCTGTTTATATGCTGGATTACATTTATTGATTTGCCTATGTTGAACCAGCCTTGCATCCCAGGGATGAAGCCCACTTGATCATGGTGGATACGCTTTTTGATGTGCTGCTGGATTCGGTTTGCCAGTATTTTATTGAGGATTTTTGCATCGATGTTCATCAAGGATATTGGTCTAAAATTCTCTTTTTTGGTTGTGTCTCTGCCAGGCTTTGGTATCAGGATGATGCTGACCTCACAAAATGAGTTAGGGAGGATTCCCTCTTTTTCTATTGATTGGAATAGTTTCAGAAGGAATGGTACCAGCTCCTCTTTGTACCTCTGGTAGAATTTGGCTGTGAATCCATCTGGTCCTGGACTTTTTTTGGTTGGTAAGCTATTGATTATTGCCTCAATTTCAGAGCCTGTTATTGGTCTATTCAGAGATTCAGCTTCTTCCTGTGGAAGCCCATCAGACTAACAGCTGATCTCTCGGCAGAAACTCTACAAGCCAGAAGACAGTGGGGACCAATATTCAACATTCTTAAAGAAAAGAATTTTCAACCCAGAATTTCATATCCAGCCAACTAAGCTTCATAAGTGAAGAAGAAATAAAATACTTTACGGACAAGCAAATGCTGAGAGATTTTGTCACCACCAGGCCTGCCCTAAAAGAGCTCCTAAAGGAAGCACTAAACAGGGAAAGGAACAACAGCTACCAGCTACTGCAAAAACATGCCAAATTGTAAAGACCATCAAGGCTAGGAAGAAACTACATCAACTAACGAGCAAAACAACCAGCTAACATCATAATGACAGGATCAAATTCACACATAACAATATTAACTTTAAATGTAAATGGGCTAAATGCTCCAATTAAAAGACACAGACTGGCAAATTGGATAAAGAGTCAAGACCCATCAGTGTGCTGTATTCAGGAAACCCATCTCACGTGCAGAGACACACATAGGCTCAAAATAAAGGGATGGAGGAATATCTACCAAGGAAATGGAAAACAAAAAAAGGCAGGGGTTGCAATCCTAGTCTCGGATAAAACAGATTTTAAACCAACAAAGATCAAAAGACACAAAGAAGGCCATTACATAATGGTAAAGGGATCAATTCAGCAAGAAGAGCTAACTGTCCTAAATATATATGCACCCAATACAGGAGCACCCAGATTCATAAAGCAAGTCTTTAGTGACCTACAAAGAGACTTAGACTCCCACACATTAATAATGGGAGACTTTAACACCCCACTGTCAACATTAGACAGATCAACGAGACAGAAAGTTAACCAGGATACCCAGGAATTGAACTTAGCTCTGCACCAAGCAGACCTAATAGACATCTACAGAACTCTCCACCCCAAATCAACAGAATATACATTCTTTTCAGCACCACACCACACCTACCCCAAAATTGACCACATAGTTGGAAGTAAAGCACTCCTCAGCAAATGTAAAAGAACAGAAATTATAACAAACTGTCTCTCAGACCACAGTGCAATCAAACTAGAACTCAGGATTGAGAAACTCACTCAAAACCGCTCAACTACATGGAAACTGAACAACCTGCTCCTGAATGACTACTGGGTAAATAATGAAATGAAGGCAGAAATAAAGATGTTCTTTGAAACCAATGAGAACAAAGACACAACATACCAGAATCTCTGGGACACATTCAAAGCAGTGTGTAGAGGGAAATTTATAGCACTAAATGCCCACAAGAGAAAGCAGGAAAGATCTAAAATCGACACCCTAACATCACAATTGAAAGAGCTAGAAAAGAAAGAGCAAACACATTCAAAAGCTAGCAGAAGGCAAGAAATAACTAAGATCAGAGCAGAACTGAAGGAAATAGAGAAGCAAAAAACCCTTCAAAAAAATCAATGAATCCAGGATCTGGTTTTTTGAAAAGATCAACAAAATTGATAGACCGCAAGCAAGACTAATAAGGAAGAAAAGAGAGAAGAATCAAATAGATGCAATAAAAAATGATAAAGGGGATATCACCACCGATCCCACAGAAATACAAACTACCATCAGAGAACACCATAAACACCTCTACGCAAATAAACTAGAAAATCTAGAAGAAATGGATAAATTCCTCGACACATACATCCTCCCAATACTAAAACATATTTTTATTTTTTATTTGCTATGAAGAAAAATGAATAAATCCATTACAATCCAGGCAAAAGTAGTTTATCAACATGTAAACACTATATCCAATTTCCTAGATATTTCTCTAGCATTGCCTTATTTGGAAAGACTCTCATGGATGAACCTATTTTGTAAATTAAGACAATTTGAAGTCAGGCTTGAGTAAGATTACTTTGACCTTGTGATATTGGGCCTTAGATTTCTCTAATTTGAATGTGATGCATTTAAGAAAATAGTCATATTTTTCTAGCTCTTCTAATTTATTGTCTTTAGTTTTCTATTAAGTAAATTATGCATGGGTTTATTTATTAGAGGAAAATATGTAAATGCTGAGTGGACCATTTACCTGAATCCTTAGTACCTGAAACCTTTCAGCAAATAATAACATTGCCTTGTACATCCAAAATAGCAGCTTTTCTTTCCAACCATTTTTACACCGATTATATTCTTTTTTTTTTTTTTTTTTTTTTTTTGAGATGGCGTCTCACTCTGTTGCCCAGGCTGGAGTGCAGTGGCACAATTTTGGCTTACTGCAACCTCCACCTCCTGGGTTCAAGTGAGTCTCCTGCCTTAGCCTGCCGAGTAGCTCAGATTACAGTCACCTATCACCATGTCCAGCTAATTTTTGTATTTTTTAATAGAGATGGGGTTTCACCATATTGGCCAGGCTGGTCTTGAAGTCCTGACCTCAAGGATCTGCCTGCCTTGGCCTCCCAAAGTGCTGGGATTACAGGCGTGATCCTCTGCGCCTGGCCTTATTTGTATATTCTTAAGAGAGAGGTGGGTCACAGGAATATTACCTCTATTTCATTATAAAGAATACCAGTCTCTGGTGAGATTAAATGATATTTGAAGATCACACACCTAGCTACAAAAGAGCTGTATATATTTCAGTCCCTCAGCTGATAACCTCACCAGCTCCACAGAATCAATGTAAATTTAGCAGGACATCCCTAGCCTGGCAAGTGAGGTATTAGAAGAACATTTGAGTCTTTCTCAAAAAAAAAACATAATAAATCCACCCATTTTTCTCCATCCTTAATCTCACCTTGACTCATGCTTCTTATATTTTGATGGCTCCAAGTTTGTCTTTCCTTCTTCCATTCTTTTACTCTTCCAGTGTATTGACCGTAATGACTTTCTTTATATGTAACTCTTATGCCAAACTCACCTTAATAATAAGAGCTAAGTGACTTTCCCACAGTTACACAACTAGTCAGTTGTATAGCCTGGAGCAAAGCCATCCTTTATGACTATCAGATTCCTGAATAAAATCATGAATTCTCCAAGGGTGGAGATTATCATGCATCTCTGCAATATAAAATCTCAGCACTTTGGGAGGCCGAGGCGGTGGATCACCTGAGATCAGGAATTTGAGACCAGCTTGGCCAACATGACGAAACCCCATCTCTACTAAAAATACAAAAATCAGCCGGGCTTGTTGGCACATGCCTGTGATCCCAGCTACTCAGGAGGCTGAGGCAGAATTGCTTGAACCCACAAGGCGGAGGTTGCAGTGAGTGGAGATTGCGCCATTGCACTCCAGCCTGGGCGAAAAAGTGAGACATTGTTTAAAAAAAAAAAAAAGGAAGAATAGGTGCATCATAAATAGTAATTATATCAAGGTCAATATGGGCTAGCTAAGGTATTAGCATTAATACCTTGCCCCAGTGAAACTGTGGTTGTGGTTGTCAGGGATGAGCAAATAATCAAATATCAAACACTAAGTGCAGACGCCATGTTCAGTTAAATTTGAGTTACATGTTAAGTTAAATATTTTTTAAATGATCTAACACTAAGTACAGGCTGTGTATTGAGTTACTTGCAGAGCTGCAGTTTTTTACTTGTGGTCAGAGAGGGGTAGCTTCCTAAAACATTTTCTATTTATATTGTGTCCTGGTGTATTTAGGTAAACTTCTTTAAGCAGAGACATTGTGAATATAAAGAAGTAAGAGCAGGCTTTTAGCTTTAACCTTAATTGATGCTCTAAGGCCAAATAAGCCCTTCAGCAATAAGTGTCCTCAGCTAGATAAACCGCTGTGTCATAGAAGGCCCCCAAACTGTACTCCTTCTGATCTCCCTCCATACCAGCCAGCTGCTGCCTGGCAGTTCAAGAAGACACTGCTTAAAAGGACTTGCAAGTTTGACAAAAAAAGTTGGAGAAATTGATTGGTATTTAGAGTTTAGTGGTCTCCTATGGGTATTCCTGGGTTTCTGTGACTGATTTTGATGAAGTGCTTTTATTTGTCTCTCTACCCAGAGACTGCAGATGAATTTGCAATAGAGCAGCATGCCTCCTGTTTAGCTTTGTCAGGCACCACTTAGACATGTTATAATTTATTTTCCAGGAAAAATATTTCTCATGAGGGCTTCTGGCTAACACAGTTATAAAGCAGCTGGCTACCGTTCAGCCTGCTGTCTGTTGGCAGCTGGGCTTCCCTGTACAGGCTGAAAAGAAACACAACTAGAAAGAAAAGTTGTGGAAGAGGGGGGCACAGTTCAAAACTCCTACCTATGCAAGCCCAGATCTTTTCTTCCTGGATGCTTTCGGTAGTTAACAACTTTGCAAACATCCTACTAAATCTGACAGGGAGCGCTGTTATTTCTTTTTTGTGCTTGTGGTTGTCTGGTTGTGCTGAGGAGACCATCTTAAACAGGCACTGGCTTGTTCTAGTTATTGTGCAGACTCAGAACTGCCCTTCAAAATTCATTGAATCACCCAGGTAATTTTTTTCTAACATAGAACACTCTAGCTAGAGCTTCAGATAATTACTTTGCTCATTTTAAAGGAACATGTTTTAAAAAATATTTAACACTGAATTCACGTACTTTGTGGGGAGATGTTCTATTATGAGCAGTGCAGTGGAACTGAAATTAACTGATATCAGTGTTCCTTGTTATATATTCATTCTAGGGCACATGTTGACAGAATGGAATAGCAAGCAAAATTGCCAAAGAATTTAACTTTTTTTTTTTGAGTAGTTACACACCATGTGTCATCAAGTCTCAGACATTATTAATTACAACAGAATATTTTAATGAACTACTAGAAAATGTTTTAAAATCTGCCAAATAACCAAAAGCATATACTTTTTGTCACTTCAAATTTATTTTTAATTGAAAGAGCTCTTTTAGACTTAGATATTTATCCTAACATTCTTGCACATAAAAAGGAAAGATTAAGTTAAATAATTGTGTTAAGATATTCTTAAAACTTCTTCATCCTTTGTCCAGTTGTTGTGAATCATTCTTCAATTCTGAGGCATCAATGCCTGAGTTTTTTCCACAGAAAATGCTGTGCCACTGAATTGACACATACTGAGGTATTTTGTAAAAACACAGCAGTATTTCCTCCAGGAAATTTTTCTCAAACTTGCTGACACCCATTATGCAAAATTTGATGCCTCTGTTCTTACTTGTATCTGAAGGTGTCAATAAAAAATCATCAGATAACAACTGGGTATCATATTCTTTCCTCATATGATTCTCAAACTGTTGATTGACTTAAACATCAACATTGATGGTCTACAATTGTCCAGTCAGGCCTCCAGGAACAACAAACCAAATTCCTGAATCCATGGGCACTGAAAATTATGTTCTGATTTTAAGATGTCGTCAACTGTAAGATATTTCTGGATTTTCAAGATGTTAAAATGTGAAAATATACATCTTAAATTTCAATATATATAAAGGGTGAATAGGCTAAATATGCACATAGACAAGTCCATTGTGTGCCACAAGTGTAGAAGGATTTCAGAGGGAAATAGCCTACACAAGTTTTGAGTTGAATAATGTGATCAGAATCAGACAGAAACTTGAAAATATGGATAATGTAACCATCTAGGAAGTGAGGCCTGGTTAATTTAACAAGCAGTCCAGGGGACTGTGATGCACAGATAGTTGGAGGAAACACTTTGTAGAAAGTCTGGGACCCACTGGCTGTGTGTTGCTGGCTGTCACACACTTTACATGGGAAGAGCATACCTCCAGGTTTGCCCAGGACAGTTCGAGTTTATGCCTCTTTTCCTACCTTCTTGTTATTACTATACCCGTTCACTCTTAAAAATGTCCAGTCTTGGAGAATTTTATAAGGTCATTCTAATTTTTTGTGAGGTGTAAAAGATGTATAATCATAACATTTATGTGGCCTTGCTGCTTACATGCAAACAGACCCTGTTTTTAAAATGGCTACTGAAAACCCACTGGGGATTTCCCTCTCAGGCCACTCAAAGAGAATCCAGTGTGCTGAGAATTTATCTTTAAGAAAGAAAAGACAAAATTAATGAGAAATATTTTGTGCTTTGAAAAGTCTATCAGACCCAAACAAACTCTTAATGAGGACGAAATCACTAACAATGCTAACTCTAGGATCACATTTGCTGAGTGTGTGGGGTTTTTCACTATGCACTTTTCACCGTTCTCGTATGTATTGTTCAGAGGCTAAAATCACTGTACCAGAAGTAGCAAGCTTTTCACGGGTTGTTTCTATTATTACACGATGGCCAGTTTGGGAAGTTTTTTAGATGATATAGGTTGAGGTGTTTCCTTTTACCTGGTACTCATAATGGAACTCTCCAACTGATTCTCTTCCCTGATCTCAGTTTAACTTCAAACGGAACAAGAACAAACTTTTACCTCAAAGAGAGCATCAGTTCATGTCATGGAAATAAGGAATGTTTAGTACAAGCACTGTCTGTACAGGGAAGAAGCGAGTTCTTTCCAGCTGAATCAAAAGAGCTAAAGAGATGTAAGTTTCAGAATATCTGCGAGTCAGTTCAGAAGAAACGCCCTGGAGAATTATGAAATTTCTCTACTGGTAAATTTGGTGATGCGACAGATTTTGTCAACAAATTGTGATTTGGTAGTAGCATAGTATTTGAACTCTATTTGTCTAATTAGACCATGATTTAAGAAATAGTTGAAACCAATTTCTGTTTCATTGAGGTTTACAATTGTGTTGACCATATAAATCATTTGGCAACCCAAATGATCTGCATTAGAAAATGAAAAATCAAATACTTAAGGGGCTCTTCTTCCTTGTCTACTACCTTTGGCTATCCTAGGACCAGCAGGTGAATAATTGAGTAAATAAGCCGGGCGTGGTGGCTCACGCCTGTAATCCCAGCACTTTGGGAGGCTGAGGCAGGTGGATCATGAAGTCAAGAGATCGAGACCATCCTGGCCAACATGGTAAAACCCTGTCTCTACTAAAAATACAAAAACTAGCTGGGCGTGGTGACTCACGCTTGTAGTCCCAGCTACTCAGGAGTCTGAGGCAGGAGAATCGCTTGAACCCAGGAGGCAGAGGTTGCAGTGAGCCGAGATTCCACCACTGCACTCCAGCCTGGCAACAGAGCAAGACAGAGCAAGACTCCCTCTCAAAAAAAAAAAAAAAAAAAAAGAGTAAATAGATTTTGGATTAATACGAGGACGGAATTAGTAGCAGTTAGAGCTTTCAAATTTGTTAGAATAATTCTTTTCTTTGGAGGTGAATTCCCCATCTC
Organism: Homo sapiens; assembly: GCF_000001405.40. NCBI lineage: Eukaryota > Metazoa > Chordata > Mammalia > Primates > Hominidae > Homo > Homo sapiens. The sequence continues at coordinate 164,529,586 of NC_000005.10, read as the reverse complement.
TGGATGCAGTTTGGTCCAGAACACAACCCTTAAATGTGCGATGTGTGTACATCAGGGAATGTGCAAATGTGTGGCGAGCACAAAGAAAATATAAAAGAATATCATCCCAAAATAAGGAAAAAGACTTTACTGATATTGAAGATATGGAATGACTCTGGTCCCTCATAAGGTCCACATGGCAGGCCATTATGCGAGATGTGCTATGACGTGACCCTGAAGGAAGTGTGGCAGTTTCACAGAACAGAGAGGTCAAGTGATGCCTTCATTTTTTCCCCTCACTTTTAGCGTATGGAAACATAGAAGTTTATGTGAACTATGCTAGGTGGATTTATACAGATAATGGTCTAAAGTTTAAAGAAACCAACCTCCCTAAACTGATGATGTGGTTTACAAAATATTATTATATATATCCTTAAACTCAAGATAACATTAATTACGAAAGCCCAGTTGGAAAACAAGAGAATGGTCAATCTGACACTTTGCCTGTTCTTCTTTAAGTATAAAACTGTTATTAACCACAATACTAGGTTAAATACCATCTTTTCAGATTTAATAAGAATTGGTGAAAGAGATCATTTGAAATACAGATGAAATTTCCTTTACGTGTTTATTTTGCCTTGAGACATGAGTAATAATATTAAAATAAAGCCATCACAATTAGCAAGGTTTTTTTTTTTTTTTTTTTTTTTTTTTGAGATGGAGTCTTGCTTGCTCTGTGGCGCAGGCTGGAGTGCAGTGGCGCGATCTCAGCTCACTGTAAGCTCCGCCTCCCGGGTTCACACCATTCTGCTGCCTCAGCCTCCCAAGTAGCTGGGACTACAGGCGCCTGCCACCACGCCTGGCTAATTTTTTGTATTTTTAGTAGAAACGGGGTTTCACCGTGATAGCCGGGATGGTCTCAATCTCCTGATCTCGTGATCCGCCCGCCTCGGCCTCCTAAAGTGCTGTCACACAGGCCAGAGTGCAATGGCACGATCTGGGCTCACTACAACCTCTGCCTGCCAGGTTCAAGCAATTCTCCTGCCTCAGCCTCCCGAGTAGCTGAGACTACAGGTGCATGCCACCATGCCCAGCTAATTTTTTTTTATATATATTTTTAGTAGAGATGGGATTTCACCATGCTGGCCAGGCTGGTCTTGAACTCCTGGCCTCGTGATCCACCCGCCTCAGCCTCCCAAAGTGCTGGGATTACAGGCATGAGCCACCGTGCCCAGCCAGCAAGGTATTTTTAAAGTAATCATTCAGATATTTTCTTGAAGTCTTTTACTTGTGAAAGACAAAAAAAAAATTCCTTCTGAGAGAACATTAATTCTTTCTTTCATAGTAAAAATGACTGAGATAATGTGTGGCAAAGGATTTGGTGACAAACTAAAAATGCATTATTATTATTATTATTATTATTATTATTTTTATTTTTAGATGGAGTCTTGCTCTGTCACCCAGGCTGGAGTGCAGTGGTGTAATCTCGGCTCACTGCAACCTCTGCCTCCAGGGTTCAAGTGATTCTCTTGCCTCAGCCTCCCAAGTAGCTGGGATTACAGGCACCCACCACCACACCCAGCTAGTTTTTGTATTTTTAGTGGAGATGGGGTTTCGCCATGTTGGCCAGGCTGGTCTCGAACTCCTGACCTCAGGTGATCCGCCCGCCTCAGCTTCCCAAAGTGCTGGGATTACAGGCTTGAGGCACTGCGCCTGGCCTAAAATGCATTATTTTGTTTGTAAATAGTGTTGTCAGACACAGAGAAAGTATTGCTGAAATTTTGAAGAGATATGTGTTAGAATAAGCCATTTTTGTTACACTGTCGAATAAATTAAATACAGATTTTTTTCCAACCTTTCTTAGCTTAAATATGAATTTGCTAGATAGCATTTCAATAATGGATGTAAGAAGAGCAACCGAAGGAGCTACTAAAGAAACAACGTATCCAAAAAAGGAAGCTAACAACAAAAGCTCTCAACCTAGTATGTGAAGGAAGAAAAATAAGAGCTTTCAGTGGGAGAATAAAACTGTAAGGATAATAACTGATGAAGCAGATTATCTGATTAGAATTGAGAGAGAGAGAGAGAGAGATTGCAGAGTAAGGCTGAAGAGCTATTGCTACACATAGAATATATTCAATGAATCTTCAGGAAAGCTTTCATAGCAAATAAGTTAAAACAGAATTATAAAAGGTGACACATTAGTGAATATGTTAGTAAATATATCAGAATATTAAGTGCAGTCTCAAGGGTTTTTAGGCCTAGACTCAAAAAGCTGAAAAAGTAGGTTCCAGATCAGATATGTTTGTAGACTAGACTAGGCCAAGAGATAGTGAAACCTGACTAGTAACCATTGGCTCATTACCCAGGTGAGGAATATATGAGAGGGAGTTGGGAAATCCACTAGTGAGATTATAGAGAGGATTTCTTTAAGGATAGAAATATTGAAAGATTGGTGTCTTCCCTGCCTTCCTTCGTGTTCTCCAATCAACCAGAAGGATTTCAAAGAAACACACTCAGTGGTTTCTAGGCATCTTTTTTTTTTAATTATACTTTAAGTTTTAGGGTACATGTGCACAACGTGCAGGTTTGTTACATATGTATACATGTGCCATGTTGGTGTGCTGCACCCATTAACTCGTCATTTAACATTAGGTATATCTCCTAATGCTATCCCTCCCCCCTTCCCCCACCCCACAACAGGCCCTGGTGTGTGATGTTCCCCTTCCTGTGTCCATGTGTTCTCATTGTTCAATTCCCACTTATGAGTGAGAACATGCGGTGTTCGGTTTTTTGTCCTTGCGATAGTTTGCTGAGAATGATAGGCATCTCTTTTTAAAAAAAAAAAAAAAAAAGAAAGTTTAAGAGGGCCGAGCGCGGTGGCTTACGCCTGTAATCCCAGCACTTTGGGAGGCTGAGGTGGATGGATCACGAGGTCAAGAGATTGAGACCATCCTGGCTAACACAATGAAACCCCGTCTCTACTAAAAATACAAAAAATTAGCCGGGCGTGGTGGCGGGTGCCTGTAGTCCCAACTCCTTAGGAGGCTGAGGCAGGGGAATGGCGTGAACCTGGTAGGCAGAGCTTGCAGTGAGCCCAGATCGTGCCACTGCACTCCAGCCTGGGTGACAGAGCGAGACTCTGACTCAAAAAATAAATAAATAAATAAATAAATAAATAAATAAATAAATAAAGTTTAAGAAACATAGAAGTAGAAGTCAAAATAATTCTATAAAGGTGAAGCTGGCAAGAGTGGCCTGTGATAGCAGAGTGAAGAGGGCGTCCTGGATTAGGAATGGGTCACTTTCCCACCATGACAGCCTAGATGTGAGTTTTTCCTTCCCTCTGGCTTTTGTTGGGGATCCTTGAGTTAGACTTTACCCACATGGGCCTCATGTAAGGTGTGGAAGACAGGACAGCAGACACTGAGGAAAGTTTAAGTAGACAGCCCAAGAGAGCATGCCTATATCAGCAAACTGCGTTCACAGAGCACTAGCGGGAGGAAGCTCCAGGAAACCTGCAAAAGTGCTCAAAAGACAGAAGAACAGTAATGTAGAATTACAGTTCAGGTCCAGCGTGGTGGCTCATGCCTGTAATCCCAGCACTTTGGGAGGCCGAGGCAGGTGGATCACCTGAGGTCGGGAGTTCAAGAGCAGCCTGACCAACATGGAGAAACCCAGTCTCTACTAAAAATAAAATTAAAAAAAAAAATTAGCCAAGTATGGTGGCACATGCCTGTAATCCCAGCTACTTGGGAGGCTGAGGCAGGAGAATCGCTTGAACCCAGGAGGTGGAGGTTGTGGTGAGCCGAGATCATGCCATTGAACTCCAGCCTGGGCAACAAGAGCGAAACTCCATCTCAAAAAAAAAAAAAAAAAAAGAAAAGAAAAAAAGCAAAAGAAAAAAGAGAATTACAGTTCGCCCAGAGAGCACTAATAAAAGCTACAACTCTCTTATTCAAAAGCTTCTTCACTTGAATTTCCCCTTGCTCTTCTGCCCATTCCTGGAGCACCAAAAGGCAGCACGGTGAGTAGGCTAAGATGGGAAGACGGAGTTGGGGAAAGGGTAGAAAAGGTAATTGTGTACCTCCCTCTCCTTGCCTCCCCCAGGTCCTCATTCTCATTCCTATTCTTACAGCAAACTCACCTCGATTTCGGTTGGGCCCAACCTAGTGTGGAGAAGGTTTAAATTGGATGAGATATTAACACCATGAAATAATGGTATGAACTGGGCATTTTTAATGAGACTATTTGTGAACACCTTAAAAATTACTGAGAAAGCCTGGACATTTTGGGTCAGAGCAGGTAACAGGAAAGAAGAAAGCTGCTTTTGTTTGTATCCTATTAAGCATTCTTCTGCTTGCTCTATTTTATTTTTACCATTAATTTTTATTTAAAATACAGAAAAGTTTGAAGGCCATTGGTCTAGGATCAACATTTTTGCACAAAGAATCATTATACTCATATAAATATATTTCCTTTAAGATCAATTTTATCACTCCAAACCCAGCCCTAATAATAAACCCCAAGCAGTCGAAAGGAAAGGTGTTCTCTACCTCAGTTTCAGATTCAACAACTAGAGGATCACCTGGTTTAATATCTAGGACATAGGTGTCCCAACTTCCTCTCCTTCTATTTCTTTTCTTTCATTTCATTTCTTTTTTTCTTTTTTTTCTTTTTTTTTTGCTGGGCTACATCTCTCAGCTTCATCACTCTGCTTATTTCTAAAACAGATAGTAAGAGTATGTACATTTTAAAGATGTGAGCTTTCAATCTGTAATCAATATAAATCATTGCTACTCTATTTTGAACAAGTCATTACTTAAGAGTGTTAGCTATTAGTTTCTCAACCACTATGAAAAGCACTATTACTCCAAAATGAAATTATTATATGTGTCTTTAAGAATAGGGATACTTGATTTTGCAGGCAAGTATATTTTTCCCTTCACCTCTAGAAGGATATTGGGGAAAAATTAATCAGAAAATAGAAACTAAAGTCCAAAGGAAATCCTTACATTCCTTCCCACGACTTTCATATGAAAAAATATGTGGTTTATGAGCATATGTTTTACTAAAAACTTTGTATGTATTCAGTGACCTTAGTGAAACATGTGAAGGTTTTTAAACGTGTCCACAAATTTAATGATATTGATCCCATTGAGGGTGAGGTCTTTGTCTCTTCCCCTTGAGTCTAAATTGGCTTGTCTGCTTCAATCAATATTGAACAGTGAGAGTGACACCATGTGACTTCCAAAGCCAGGTGATAAAAGTCCATCCAGGTTTTGTTTTGTTTACGGGAACACTGGTCTTCTTGTAAGTAAGAAGTTTGACTACCTGAAGGTAGCTGTGTTGAGAGAAGCCCAAGTTATATAGAGAGGCCTCATGAAGGTAGCCAAGAGTCTCAGCTGTGTCCAGCCTTCCCATCCTTCCATTCCAGGTCTCAGACATATGGCACCAGGGACCAGTTTCGTGAAAGACAATTTTTCCATGGACCAGGTTGTGGGGGGATGGTTTCAGGATGATTCAAGCACATACATTTATTGTGTACTTTATTTCTATTATTATTACATTATGATATATAATGAAATAATTATACAACTCACCATAATGTAGAACCAGTGGGAGACCTGAGTTTGTTTTCCAGCAACTGGATGATCCCATCTGAGGGTGATGGGAGATAGTGACAGATTATCAAGCATTAGATTCTTATAAGGAGCATGCAACCCAGATCCCTTGCACACACAGTTCACAATAGGGTTCGCCTCCTGTGAGAATCTAATGCCGCCACTGATCTGACAGGAGGCAGAGCTCAGGCTGTAATAAAGTGATGGAGAGCAGCCAGTACCAGTCTGTGGCCCAGGGGTTGGTGACCCTGTCTCCAAATGATTCCAGCCCCCAGATATTTGACTCTCCTCAGCTGAGGTTCCAGCCATCATGGAGAGAGGCCGTACTTGGTGTATTCTGTTCAAACTCCTGACTCACATAAACCATAAGCATAATAAAACGCTTGTTTTAAAACACTAAATTTCAGGGTGGCTTGTTGCACTGCAATAGACACTTGGAATAAATATAGTCCTCAAATGAACTTGATAACTGAATATTGTTCAGTGACACACATACCCTGATCACTTAAATATTACTATACAGTGCCTATAAAGCTCTATTTCATATATTGCCTATCCTGAACTTCTGACTCAGGATTCCTTCCCAATATCTCTTCATTCCTCAAAAATTGCTAGTCGGTGCCTCTTCATCAGATACAAAATTAGGTCAAAAATCTTCAGCTTATTATTCGGGGCTTATATACATGTTAGCCCAGGCCTACTTTGCCAACTTTCTTTTTCATTATTTTCCAACATGCACTTTTTTCTCCCAAAGTTCTTGGCCACTATTTGCTGTGAAAACCTTGCCTCCATGCCTTTGTTCCTACTGTCACTCTCATCCAAGAATATATCTACCTGCCACACACACATCCTTTTCCACATATTCCAGTTCTCTTCACCCTTCAAGACACCTGTTAAAGCAAGTATTATCCCTTCACCCATCAATTACACTTTCTTTCTCACATTAGAGCATGTATTATCTTCTCTTACATAGCCTTAGGAGTAATTGCCTCCTCTTTTACTCATTGTGTATGGCTTAGGAGCCAAGGACCATGTTTCTTTTTACCATTTTCTCATTCATGTTACCTAAGCATATAGTTGCCGAATGGCCTAATATTTTTAAAAGCTACACAGGCCAGAGGCTGAAAATGGCAGTTTACTTTTCGAAAGGGTTTTTCTGCTTACAGGGATAGTTTCCATTTATTCTCTCTGCTTTCCAGTAAAGTAAGACCAGGAAGACCTTTTCAATTTACTTTTTTTTCTTATTTTTTATTTTATTTTTAATTGAAACGTAGTGATTGTATATATTATATATTTATGGAGCACCAGGTGATGTCTTGATGTGTGTTTACATTGCGGAATGATTAAATAAGCTAATTAACAAATCTATCACCTCACATTCTTATTATCTTTTCTTGTTAAAACATTTAAAAGCTACTCTTTTAGCAGTTTTCAAATATGCAATGCATAATTTTTATAGTCGCCATTCTTTGCAATAGATCACTAAAGCTTATTTCTTCCAGCTGACTGAAATTCTGTGCCCTTTGGTGAAGAGTTTAGTGTTGTGGTGTAGTGAGAACTACTCAAATTTATGTTAGTGGGAGTGTGTCTATTGCCAAAACTTAAATTCATGGAAATTTTGAGTAAAAAATGTAGCAAAGTAGCAGCTTTAAAGTGGACAATATTGGTTTTAGTCATATAACTAATAGCTAATAGTTAATGCATTGTAGATTTTTTTTTTTTTTTTTGAGCCAGAGTCTTGCTTTGTTGCCCAGGGTGGAGTGCAGTGGCACGATCTCGGCTTACTGCAACCTCCGCCTCCCAGGTTCAAGTGATTCTCCTGCCTCAGCCTCCCAAGTAGCTGGGACTACAGGTGACCGCTACTACACCCAGCTAATTTTTGTATTTTTAGTAGAGATGGGGATTCACCATATTGGCCAGGCTGGTCTCGAACTCCTGACCTTGTGATCTGCCCACCTAGGCCTCCCAAAGTGCTGGGATTACAGGCGTGAGCCACCGTGCCCGGCCACCTTGTAGTTTTTAATGCATTTTTTTAACTTAATCATTTATTCCTGTTAAAACTGAATTATAATCATTTCATAAGTGAAGACTTCATTGATCTCAGCTAGGAAACAATGGACCCAAGAGCATATGGTAGAAATCACTACCAGGATTTGAACTCAGATCTTCCACTTCCAAAAATCAGTTTTCTTTTACAACATTTTTAAGCTGGTGAAATTATGCAAAATAACTGAAATATTCCAGCCTCCTAAGTGACTTACGTCTAATATTGCACCTTCTAGATCTATATTTCACAGAGCAGCCAGAAGGATCTTTTGAAAGGTATACTTCTTATTGTCCTCCCTTGGTTAAAATCTTATGAGTCTTCTTACTGCATTTGGTGTAAAAGGCCCTTATTTCATTTGGTGTAAAAGGCCTGTCCCTCACCTTCCTTGCAGTCCCAGCTACCATGACTCTGCTTCTTGCTCAGTATGCTCTACCCATAAAATCCTTCCTCCTGGCCTGGACTTGCCTCCAAGTCTTGGGACTCATTTTTCTCCCCCTCTTGGAATGCCATGTTCCCCTACATTTGCATGGCTCAGTCCTTCTCATTCAAATTTCTGCTCAAATACTACCTTATAGAGGACTCCCCTTATCATTCTGGTTAAAATGGCACTCAGACTCATCCATCCCTCACTGTTTGATATGATTGCATGGGTTTGTTTACTTGTTTGCCTCCTTATTACATAAGGCAGGAAAATGTCACGAGAAGAGGAAAATGTTTCTATCTTCTTAAATGAAAAATTCACAGCAACTAAAACAGCACCGAGCACACAAAAACACTAGGGTATGAAGGTATAAATAAATACGCAAATAAATAAATGAATGAATTCTCAGTAACTGTATGTGACTGGATAAGACTATGTGGTGAGGTACAGGGAGGATGGATAAACAGAGTTCATTCTTTTCCATATCAAGGTTTAAACTTGATCTTCCAGCCATTGAAAGTTTTCCAGCAATGAGAGTGGCATAATCAGCTGTGTTTTTCAGAAAAATTATTTTTGTTGTGATGTAGATTATTAATTATAAAGGACAGAGGCAAGAAGCCTAGTAAGGGGGCTTCAGAATGATTCAGACAAAAGATGATCATCAACCAATGAACCAAGCAATGAAGTCATGGGTCTACAGAGGGCTTGATGAATTCTACAGATACTAGGGAGAGCCGACTAGCCTTATAGTTTACCTGAATGTCATGGCTAAGAGAGGAAGTCAGGAACAAAACTCAAGTTTGTTCCTGTATGGGCAGCTGGTTATATGGCATTGCCAAACACTGGGATAGAAGAATACTAGAAGTGTTCATGAGTGGTTGACTGGATAAAGAAAATGTGGTACCTACACACCATAGAATACTATGCAGCCACAAAAAAAAAAGAAAAGAAAAGAAAGAAAAGGAAAATGAACTACCAACACTAGTAGTTTTTAGCTAATCTTTTATTTGATGAGTTAAAAGAAAACTCACTTGTTCAGTTTACTAATTTTATTGTTTGATTCATCTCTCACCTGCATTTGTTGCATGTCTTCTATTTATGCTAGAGCCCAGGGATACAAAGATGAATTTGTCCTGTTTTTTTACTCTCAAATCCTTGTAGTATTTGACCATAGAAAAGCAGATTCAAGGCTAGTACACCCTGCACGTGACAGAAATATTGACAAGGGCTGGGCACACTGGCTCATGCTTGTAATCCCTGCACTTTGGGAGGCTGAGGAGAGTGGATCACCTGAGGTCAGGAGTTCGAGACCAGCCTAGCCAACGTGGTGAAACCTCATTTCTACTGACAGTAAAATTAGCTGGGTGTGATGGTGTGTGTATACCTGTAACCCAAGCTACTCAGGAGGCTGAGGCAGGAGAATCACTTCAACCTGGGAGGCTGAGGTTGCAGTGAGCCGAGATCACGCTGCACCATTGCACTCCAGCCTGGGCAACAAGAGTGAAACTCTGTCTTAAAAAAAAAAAAAAAAAATGAAAAGAAAAGAAAAGAAAAGAAAGAAAAGAAATAAATATTGAAGAGGACAGCCAACAAGGCCTGGGTTGATGGGGAGGCGCGTGGTCCTTGGAAGGTTTCCTGATAGAGATGATGGAGACAGTGTGCAGCAGTATATCGCGTTCTGTGGCTGGGAGGTGGGGAGGAAGAGCCTTTTGCATGATGGCAGAGCTCCATGTTTGAGTCAGGGGAAGGAAATGTTCAGGGTTGGAGTCTAATGGCCCATGAATCTGAGACAGACAGGAAGCTAAGGAGTAGATAGGAGTCAGATCATGAAGGGACTTAATTACCACTCATGGTGCAGCAGGCACAGTACCATCATTATGATGAGGTATTTTATTATAACTGGATACATTATAACACTGAGCCTTAATATACTCCTCTGGAACATACAATGCTTGGCCTGCGGTGGGTTTACACTTTTTGTCTCTGGGATTATTTTTGCACATGGGAGTGCAATAAATAAAAATGGGGCTGGCATGAGGGAGGCAAATATGGGAAATCCAGACCATCCCCCTCCACCATCACCACTTCAGAATTTCCTCATGTTCCCCAGCACAGTAATCCAAGAAGCACACTTTTCAAACTCTCAAACTAGATGGTCTAAAATCCAATTTACTTTAAGGTTTAATGTACTAAATTCTGTTTTCTTACTTTTCTTTTTTTATTAAAAATATGATAATATTGTCATGCATCAGAATTGAGAGGAAACTACAAATTGTCTAAGTTTCTGGGGAAACAAAATTGATAAAACGGTAGCACCAAACACTAGAAGAACTATTTTTGTTAGCTTTTGCTGTGTAGCAAACCAGGCTAAAATTTGGAGGCTAAAACAAAAATTGTTTCTTTCACTTCTATTAGTTGTCTAGATAATTCGTCTATAGATTTCACTGGGGCTCACTCACTTGGCTGAATTCAGCTAGCAGTCAGTGAGGCTGGAAGACCCAACAGGCCTCACTCGTGTGTCTGGCACTTGGTGTCGACTGTCACTGTGGCCTCGCTTCTTCCCCTCCTTGCCTCTCCTCCTCCATAGTCTAGTCTGGCTTCTTTACATGACAGTCTCATGCCACATTCCAACAAAGTCTTTTAAAGCCTAGCCTTGGACATCAAATAATGTCTCTTACACATCTCTTACATGGTCAAAGAAAACCACAAGGCCGGCAGAGATTGAAGGATTACCTCTCTTTATGAAAGGAGTGGCAAAGTCACATCTGAAAGGGGCATGTATACAGGAATAAGTCATATTTTACAATCCCCCACTTTTGCACCCTGTATGTCAACAGTTCCCAGAAAGTGGCCACTTCTGCTTTGCTATCTCAAGATAGCACTGGAATGCTCATACTTTGACAATTTCAGTAGCTTATTATGATATAGCTGTCCTCTTTGATTTGTAGATTGGAACATAGTGCACAACTCCATGTACTTGCAGAAATATGCTTATTGAAACAACTCAAGGGAATCTTCTGAATTGAGGAAAAACATTTACATTGGAACAAATTACATTTTACTGAAAACCTAATTGTTACACTGAGAGCTGTACACTGCTGTAATTGCATACTCTTAATTACACACACTGCATTATTTAAAAAAGAATGGCATTGTTTATTTGTGATATTCTCTGCTTATTTACACTTGCATATTTGAGCAAGGAACAAGGAGTTATTTCTGCCATGCGGCAGAGATTGTTATCTGTTCACAAACATAAAATTAATTCTGTAGAGGGAAGCAGCTCTCAAACAGGAAGAGAGAAATTTCTCCTGAGGCAAGACATTCTACAGTGGTTTCTAAATTTCTGTATAATTAACAAAGCACTTACCATCTGCAATGATTGACCTGTCAGAGCTGCTCCTCTGAGATAATTTTGGTGACATTAAAAAAAATTGAATATCCAAAAGCCACATTTGACATAAATGAATTAGCCCATTCTTGTAAATAGAAGTAATACTCAAGACAGAATGTTTTATGAGATGGTGCAAAACATGGGTAACCTTAACCATATTAACTCCCCTCGGGCACTTGTGTGAGTCTCTCAGTGCCCGCTGTAATGGTAACCTTGTTCTTTCTGTCTCCTGATTTTGATTTTGTAACTGCCACTTGAACCTCAAAGCCAGTGGCCCAGTCAAACCTCTTACTTAAGTATATGGTTAAGTGTCTAATTCTTTCTGAATTATAATCACATTTCCTGATTGATGTGTCAGGATAAAACAAAAAGAGGGGGCTCAGAAATTCTTTTAAAAGCACAAATGGAAAAGTTTCCTTCTCTTCCCTACATTTCTCATTCTTTGCTAACAATTTCTATTCATAATTCACAAATGTGCCTATCACAAAAGAAGGTGTTTTTACCTTCTCCTACCAAAGAATCAGAGTGGTGTATAATAGGTACTTTGAGTAACCTGATTATTTTCTTAATATCATGAATATTAATAGCATAACTGATGGTTGATGTGGCTTTTAGAAAGGAAAAAAAAAAAAAAAACCCCAAAGAACATTCCTGATTAGCAGTAGTTCCTTCAGCCACTACCAGTCTGTTTTAAAGACATATTTAAGTATGGAGTTGTCCTTTTTGTCTCAGGAGCAATGCAAACAGCCTTTTTTTCTTTTCTTTTTCTTGTTGTTGTTACTAAGGCATAATATGTTAATGCATTCAATTTTTAAGAAACTGAAAGCTCAAAAGTGACCAGGATCGCTAGCACAGGGATGTTTAAATTTTAGTGACCTATAGGGGATAGTCACTTACTCCATGGTTCACTGAAATGGTTCCTTTACCTTAATACATGAAAGAAAGAGGAGTCTAACATTTCATCCTTTTTCAGAGGAGAGTCCTCCTACAGACCAGTAATAAAGTATCCCTGCAAGTCCAGTCCCTGCTCCTAGCAGAGAAACTTCTAAGTCTGTAAGCTTGTGACTGATCTTTCCTATTTGATGTATTTGAACTTCATTACTGTAGTAACAAGAGCTTAAAAACATAAGAGTTAGGCTTACATATGTCTAAAGTGTCTTATAGTAACTTCCTATGTGTATACCAAGGATTAAAGTAGAGTGTCAATATATCTTATGATAAATGAAAAGGAGCTTTTTTAATCAGTTGGCCTCACCGTTATATATTACTATCATTAATAGATCTTACTTGCTTTAGATTTAGATTCCATTTTCTAAAACTAGGAAGCTAGGAGTAATATTTTTCCTACAGCTTAAATAAAGAGTCATGAAAGCCTTTCTCTATAACAAAGGTTAAAAAAAATCATCAAATAAGATTTGCGTTGTTTGCTTCTTTTTCAGAATACAAATTTTTCTGGGATTTTTTATGATGTGATATGTGCTTCTGTGAGGTAATGCTATTAACCAACAAAAACTGTTTAAGAATAAAAAATAAAACATTCTATCATTTCAGGTGGCTAATGTCAAATGCACGTTGTTATTTCAGCACAACTTCAACCAATACAGACTGATGTGTTCTTTAGCAAGGGTTGATTCACTAGAATGCTTATCTTAACAAAGCAGTTAAAGATACGATGTATGTTTACATAGATCAATTGTATTTTTTATCATACTTCTGTATGTCGATCAGATTGTACGGTATTACTACGTTTTATAATTCACTGCAGAGAGGAAGTACCTACCTACTTTATTCTTTTCAAAGGAGAAATAATTGAGCAAGGATATTAGTTTGCTTGAATTCTATTTTGCTTTTCTCCTTCTTAGTAGCCAAATATAAACTGTTATTTTCTCCTTTGTGCATTTCAGTTAAAAAAAAAAAGAGGGTGTAGTTTATTCTATGTTTCACTAGAAAATTGCAATCTTTCTCATTTCCCACCTTTTGCTTTTTTGTCTCTAAGGGAAATGAGGTCTCATCCTTTCACTTTTTAGGAATCTCCTACACTCTAAAATTCTTACTTTATTTCTATGTCTTACTCCTTTTCTGCCGTGCCCAAGGCTTGTTTCACATAAATAAACTTCATTTGATATGGAAAAATGTTTATTTTTATCAAGTTTATTTGATAAAAAGAAAAAAGTCATAGCTTTAGCAGAGAGCAATGTAACATTATTGTAACTTTAAACCGATTTTTTTTCTCTGTGCTATTCTTATAGTTAATTCAGGAAAACATTCTGTGTGTAACTTGCTCACACTCATTTAGAAATCTTACGACACAAAAGAAAGATATTGGAAAACCAGAGAGAAAATTGTGTTTTCTTCTTTCAATTTTGATTATCATGAAAAAGTAATTTATGCTTACTAAATATAGACACATAGAAAGTAGTGAGTAAATTTTCAAGAATAACTATTACCCAGCTTAGCATGGTGAGAAACCAAATGTATAATCTGGCATATTTTATTCTGGTCTTTCTTTTCCATATATCTGTGTGATTTCTTTGTTTAAACAAGCATAATTTGGTAATACAGAATACAGTAAAGAAGAAATCTTTGTTATATTGAGTAATTCACATCAGTGGAACTGGCCTAGGGAAGGGGAGTGTAGAAAATTAAGATCTGAAGTAGAATTTAAGAAAATCCAAGCAGATCTCATCTCCCCCGATCTCCTTGTGACAACCCACTTAAGATAAGAAAGAAGCTCTGTTACTACTTTTATCCCTCATGCGCATTTAAACGCTTTGTCAAAGACTGAAAGAGAAAAGGAAAAAACAAAAGATTTAGCTGATCCCCACTCCGAGCCCTCAGACGGATCCTGGAAAGTTTTGTATGCCACGTCCACACTTTGCACACTCCCTTTCACCCCATTGGCTTGTTCCTGGTTCACATTTCTGCAAGTGAAGGAGTATCTCAGAGAGATGAGAAGCCTCTCACAATAAAACTACAGATGGTTGGTGGAGGGTATATGAAAATGACTTTATAAATCCAAATTAAATGCCCTAGAAGAGAATCAAATATGTGACCTGCTTTTGAAAGGCATCAAGGAATGAGAATATGGTGATTATTCTAGAGTATTTAAAAGAATTCTTCAGAACATCTATGTGTAAAGCGAAAGTGGAAAAAAAGAACAAATAAAAATACGGCTTTCATGACCTAATGGTTCATGGCCTATTAGGATGGAGCCCACTGACTTATCTTACAAGGGAACTGCCAATTCTGCTCTTAATGTTATTAATTTAAATTGAGTGCTAACTGTAATAGATGTGATTAAAAATATATAGAATTAGACATTGTCCCTGCTCATTAATTCTGCTTCCTGGTGGCTAGTTCTCTGCCCATCTTTCATGTTCACAGCTTGCCAGGTGAACAAGGACAGAGTTAAAAATGTTTCATGAGGTTGATCATTGTCATTATTTCCAATTAATACTTTGAGTGCATATGGGGTGCATGGTACCATGCCGGGTCCCATAAGAAGCTTGGTAGAAATTAATTAAAGGCCTTGAAGGAACGTCAGATATAAAGGGCAAGTAATACCTCAAGGAAGGAAATACATCATAAATAAATGATTTTTACAGTTTTTTTGGTTCATATTGGTCTGTTTTCATAATGTTATTCAAGTTAAAACTGTGAAGTAACAAAGAGGGAGGAAAATGGTACATGAGCCAAGAAGAGAAAAAAATTAAAAGAATAGAGCAGAAAAATACGAATTGGAAATCACTATTCACACAAGAAAAATTGAGATAGGAAAGTATTAATTAAGAATGTCTATGCCATAAGTTGTGAAAATCCAACTAAAATTGGTTTAAGGAAAAACAAGAGTAATTTACTGGCTCACAAAAAAAGTCAAGTGGCAGCCTCACGGACAACTTGATCCAAGACTTTAAACAATGCCATTGGGGTTGAATTTTAATGTCTTTCATTGTTTAAATTTGTGTTCTGTCTTTATTCCATGGCAAAAAAGTTGCCAGCACATCTCCAGCTTCCTATCTTCTCAGGGTAGACCGCATGAATAAAGCGTTATGCTAAGCAAGAGAAGCCAGACTCGTAGGCTGATTTTTTTTCTTCTAGCCCTACAACAGTTATAGTAGCTCTTCTTAGATAACATGCCTATCCCTGAATCAACCATGGTGGCTTCTGTAGTGCAATAATTCTTTAAATGACCAGCTCTTAGATACATGGGTGGAATTTGCATCACTGAAATCTATGAATTTAGAGGGAGGGAGAAGTGAATCTCCAGAAGGAAAAGTGAATGTCTTGATAAGAATAAGTGGAAATAAATGCTAATAAGAAACAAACAAACAAATAAACAGAGAAATGCTCCACTATAAAAAGTACACATATGAAAGAAAAGACAGGGCAGAATAGACCTGTTTGCATTAAACTTTCTCTTGGATTTTATAACTGATGGAATAAAATTAGGACAAATGAAAACCACTAACTTTGCTATTACCATATTCCCAGACACTGTTGAATGACTTGTAAATTATATTCACTCAACTCCTAATTCCTAATTGACTGGGAATGCCAAATGCTTAAAACTTCAATTTCATTATGTTATGACTCTTAAATATTTGTCTGGCACTATAGGGCAGGGGATAACATTTCTGCATTTGTGTTGGAGGGCTGAATGCAGTCAGCCCTCACTGGCACAGAATCTGCAAGATGAGTAAGAAGCTTATTCGTTGAGACCAGAGAAAGAGTAAAGGGCCACAACACACTTCTCAAGAAGGATCAGGAAACAAGTACCTTCAGGATGTAGAGAAAAAAAGAGATCTGCTTGCTGCCATCTAAATGGGGAAAGAAACTAACTTACGTTGAAAGTCTAACATATGCTGAGCACTTTATCGTCCTCATCTCATTTAATCTTCATACCAGTTTTACAATACTCAAAAAAAAAAAAAAAAGAAAGAAAGAAATTGACACCGATGAAATACATTCTGAAGGTCCTAGTACTGATAATGTCCAGGACTGGGATTTGAACCCTTGTCCATATCATTGTAAGATGCAATTTACAAACTGCCAAGCTCGCTCCCTCTGTGGAGCAGTTTCAGTGGGCACATGACATTGAGAGCTTCTCACACTTCCTACTCTCTGTCCTTGCATCCACCCTCTACACCAAACTGGGAGATGGGAGGTGGGGGATGAGGTAGTTTTGGGGGCAAGGGAAATCTGGGTAGTAAGTAGAGAATACAGAAGTATAAATGTGATTTTTATGAAGTTTTGCCTCATGGCTGAATCTCCCTTTAGTACTTCAATAAAATACTAATGTCTTCTTAAAGTATTGTGGAATGGGATCTGGTTCATGGTTGTTTTCAAATATTGCTTCTATTGTAAATGAGAAAATGGGCTAACCTCAGGAAGATAATCACATGTGGGTGAGGCTTAAAATAGGGAGTGGGACTTTAAATAGTTATCTGAACATTTTTTAGAATAATTTTTAAAAGATGTAATTATGAATAATTATAATAATTCCGTCCCTGCTTTCTAAATATCAGGGATAAATGAAAAAGAGAAAATTCTATATAACAGCATAACATTTAAAATTTAAAATAGAAAGCATGCACGTTATCCTTCACAGAAGAGAAACTATTGGCCCTATTTCCACATGCTTTTCTCATATTGAAATATTGTGTTCAAATAAGATGGCAGGTATACAACCAACTATGTTCTTATTCTTACAAAAAAGAATTTTCCCTCATATTCTATATTTCTCTACAAGAATATTTTGTTTGATTAATCTTTTTTTTTTTTCTTTTGAGACAGAGTTTTGCTCTTGTCGCCCAGGCCGGACTGCAATGACCTGATCTGGGCTCACTGCAACCACCAACTCCCAGGTTCAAGCAATTCTCCTGCCTCAGCCTTCCGAGTAGCTGGGATTACAGGCGCCCGCCACCACGCCCAGCTAATTTTTGTATTTTTAGTAGAGACAAAGTTTCACCATGTTGGCCAGGCTGGTCTTCAACTCCTGACCTCCTGTAATCCGCCCACCTCGGCCTCTCGAAGTGCTGGGAATATAGGCATGAGCCACTGTGCCCGGCCTGTTTGATTAATCTTATACATATGACATATTCTTAATAAAATCTAAAGACAAGGATGAAACACTAAAGCTATTTACTATGGTTTAGGGCAGTCTCAATGCTATAGTATTAAGGACATAGGATGTATTTAAAAGATGGCAAATATTATTTATCATTACAAGGAACATTTCCTCTGACACAGTCAAAAAAAGTCAGCCAATAAATCTTTCAAAAGTCTGAGTATCATTTAAAAGTAAAAATTAGAAAAGAAATGCAAGGTTTTTTTCAAAATCCCTACATGTTTTTCTGATGAGACTTTTTGCCCCATATGACAATCTGTGGAGTGGTTTATCCTAATTCATTATAATTTTATTGGTTTTCTTCCTCATTTCTTTGTGCATTTTTACATAATAAAAACTGTAAAAACAAGTTAAATATTTACTTAAGATTCATGATAGATATAAAATGAAATAAGGAATATTGTAGAAAGTGAGACTAATGCTTCATTCAACATAAGGCTCTGTCGCAAATAATTCCACACAAAAAGAATCTGTTTTCTTCTTCTATCCAGGTGAATGATGTACCATGAACAGTTTCAACATTACATGAATAATATGGCTCAAAGAGCATTAAATTTCTTACATGCAACCTGTTCATTTTTAAAAGCTTTGGTAAAGGTAGAATTTTACTTGTTAGCTCTGCTATTAGAAAACACAATTAAATAGTGTGTAATGCTTCTTTTTTCCTTGCTTTTGTTTTAGAGCATGATGTAGTGAGTGCAATGCTAGTTGGAACTAAAACAAAAATCTTTCTCATCTTACTATACTAAACTTAACCAGCATCATGCTACCGAGCACATCATGTAACACCTTTAGGCCTCACTAACCTCATCCATATAATGGGAGTCCGGAATGGCAAATCATTTTTAAAAAATGTCTTTATTACACTTTAATTTCTGGGATATATGTGCAGAACGTGCAGGTGTGTTACATTGGTATACACGTGCCATGGTTGTTTGCTGCACCCATGAACCCGTCATCTACATCAGGTATTTCTCCTAATGCTATCCCTCCCCTATCCCCCCACCCCACAACAGGCCCCAGTGTCTGATGTTCCCCTCCCTGTGTCCATGTGTTCTCCTTGTTCAACTCCCACTTATGAGTGAGAACATGTGGTATTTGGTTTTCTGTTCTTGTGTTAGTTTGCTGAGAATGACGGTTTCCAGCTTCATCCATGTCCCTGCAAACAACATGAACTCATCCTTTATTATGGCTGCATAGTATTTCATGGTATATATGTGCCACATTTTCTTAATCCAGTCTACCATTAATGGCATTTGGGTTGCTTCCAAGTCTTTGCTATTGTGAATAGTGCTGCAATAAACATATGTGTGCATGTGTCTTTAGAGTAGAATGATTTATAATCCTTTGGGTATATACCCGGTAATGGGATTGCTGGGTCAAATGGTTTTTCTGGTTCTAGATCCTTGAGGAATCGCCACACTGTCTTCCACAATGGTTGAACTAATTTACTTTCCCACCAACAGTATAAAAGCGTTCCTATTTCTCCACAGCCTCTCCAGCACCTGTTGTTTCCCGACTTTTTAATGATCACCCAGAATGGCAAATCTTTTAAAGGCAGGAGTAGAAAGCCAAATAAATTCACTAGCTCTAAGATCTATTGAAGAAATTATAGTCTAAGAGCCTTTGGCAATCTTAATTTTTTTATATCACATTTGTCAGTGGTGGCACATTGACTGAAAATATTTATCAATTTAATAATTTTTGGACATAGATCAGAAATAATTGCACTTGAAAAAAATAGAAACACAAGTAGCAACAGATTACTAACCTAAGAAATCTGTTGTTATTATAAAAAATACACTTATTATAACTTTCTTAGAGAGTGGACATTGAGACATAAAATATATCATCCTAAATATTCAACAGTAACCCATATTTCTCTTCATCATTACTGGTCTTTAATTGTAAGTTCCAGGAGATCAAAATTCAATTATCCTCATATAATGCAGCAATTGCAAGGATAGGTAGCTACTATATGTTCTGTTGATGAGTGGTTCTACTAGCTAGATGTAAAGGTGCTTACTTTTGTCTTCTTAATTCAAAAAATGTTGACTCAATACTTTTTTTCTTAGTTCTTCCACAAGCTATTTTATTTAAATACCTGAAATATTTTTAAATAGCATTTCCTGATGTTTGTGGATTTCAAACTTGAATATGCCATTAAAAGAATATTGCTGTGGATGTAAAAACTGCTCAGTATATTAAAATTTGACTTGCTGCTCAAAGTATATTACATATGTAGTACAACTTTACATGAGCATCTACTTTCTTCAGAACATCTTGATTTTCATTTACTTGGTAAAATAAAACTGCTTAATGTCAAAATAGCATGACAATATTCAATGAAAATACATTTCCGAAACAAATCTGCATCTTTTCTTTCTTATTTGTAATTTGTTTTCATTGAATTTTATAATAAACATGTTGTATGAGTAGTTGCTCTTTTGACAACAGAAAATAACAACATTAACTTAATTTCACTTGGTAATATAAGTAAGGCTCTTTGAAAACCTTTAAATAGGAACCATTTGATACTAGATTTTCTCACTTTGTTTTTGTAAGAGAAAATATCTGTGTGCAAAGAATCATCATTAATCTTTGCTGTAAACCAGTGATCAGAAAATCTGTTAGGTTAAAAATTAATTGATGCATTTGTACATTTAATTAATAATAAAACTTTCCTGATGGTCTATTTTTCCTTAAACGTTTTAACATCAATGGATAATATTATTTGCCCATTTTCAGAGAACACTGATGCAGATTCTGTGCTGGGCATTTTGCCCAGAACAGAACTCTCCTCTCAAAGGTTAGAACTGGAGAGAAGATTTACTGCTCTTATTTTGAAAATTGTTGTAGATTTCAGTCCACTCTCCATATTGTCAACAAAAATCTGACTGCCCCAGAATAGTTGTTTAAGAGAAAGAGACAGTGGACAATGGTAAGAGGGTAGAAAGTTGGCAAGTACCCACCTTTAATGGTAGATGTAAGATTTAAAAATTAGCAAAGGAGGTGGGGAAGAGGATCAAGAGCGGCTGAGAATTCAAGAAAAGTGATATTAAATAAAGTAGCATACCATTACTGTAAGTGGGAGGAGACTGAAGAATAAAATTCTTTTAAATATATGTGTTAGTGATTCTTTCAAAAAGTTGGCAGGTGTAAAATCATGATTTTCCTGCAAAGTATAAATTACCCTCATTTTGGTAATGGACTCCCAATATTTCTTTTGAGGAAACAACCTATCTGCCGTTTTAATCCTTATAACTCAGGTTGGGCTGGTTCCACACACTCTGGCTTGATGTAAAAATGTCCCTGGGCAACAAATGTGAATCCTAGAACTCACTGTGGAACAAGGGAAAAAACAGGGTGTTACAGTTGTCAGTATATAGTGGGTGCTCAATAGATGTCAGCTGACATTTTATTACCAGTATTGTACCATTGTTTCTGGTCACACAAATCATGATTTACTGGTGTTATTGACACTTTTAAAAAAAGATTTGTGAATTGAAGCTTTGAGAATTTGTTTTTGTTTAAGGATGAAGATAGAAGAACAGGAATAATATTATTGCATGAGAAATTTTAATGCTTTATGTAAGTTAAATCATTTAATAGATAAGTATGTCATTTTGGCACAACATGATGAAATCGGTTCTGTTTTTCTGCATCCATTCATTTATTTATTATCAAATGAATGGAAAACAAACTTTTTTTTTCTTTCGGAAGTCATTTTTATTAGTCTAGAATGTAATCGAGTAAAATGGTGAGTTTCATGACTTTGAGAAAGGATTACATTTAATTTTTGTAATGTAGCCTTTAAATAAATCCATGTTCCTTACCATTTTGTACTTGACAAATTGTTCAATTCTAGTGGAATTTATGAAACAAAAATAAATACTATCCATTGAAATCAATGAAATAGATTTCAATGGCAACATACTTTTATCCTAAATAGATTTGCTGCCAATTAACAGATTTTCTCTTTTCAGCATAATCATGGACAAAGGTGTAAAAACACACCCACTTAACAAGTACTTCTAGATGGATAATCACCAAATAGAAATGGTGCAAAATATTCAGAGGAGTATTTAATACTACATATATTGTGAAAATATGAAAGTTTTCTATCACTGATGGACACAAAGGATTCAAATGACTAAACCCGGGCTCAGCTGTGAGCTTTTTTCTTGAAGCTAACATGTATTTGAAAGAGAAGAAGCTATGCTTAAAATGAAATAAAAATATTAGTTATTTTGAAATAAGAAAATCATACAAAAGCTATTTTGATTCACAAAGATAGACATAAACTTTGTGCAATAGGCATTGCATTGTTAGCATTACTGCCAAGTTACATTATGAACTCTTGCAACTTTTAGCGGTTTGTCTGCAAACTGATATGGAAGGTAAAAGTTGTGGGTGCTCTAGTGTTAGAAAGGAACAAACAACAAAATTTACTACAACTTAATGTTGGTCTTATTTTTATAATTATATAACTTACAGAACTTTTCTTACTTCCTTTAAAACATGTCTCTGCTTGAATTCTCCCAGAATACACTCCCTGATGGATTGCCCCAGTCTTAAAAACTTAATGCACCCTACACTATTAGGACTAAAACAACATTTCCAACACGGGATTCCATCAAACACAAGCACTAGACGATGTAAACAGGTCCATGGCTGAAAATAACGCTCCTTCAACAAATAATCACGTTGAAGACCAGGTATATTATGTATTCCTCTGGCACGCATAATAAACATTTGGCATGTATAATGAGTATTAGTATCATATTGAGGTTCAGAATTCCTGAACCACTGTTCACCCCTCTTTCCCAAACTTATTTGTACATGAAACACCTTTTCCCCCATAGTTTCCCTATTACTAACCCCAGGTAAAGTCTTCCAAGGAACAACAATGGAGAAAATGCTGGCATAATTATGATTCAAACACATTCACACAAGAATCAACTCTGTTAGAGAAACATTCTGTGACAGGTGAGGGTTTCCTAGTTGGCAACACATTAGGAACCAGAATGTTGGCGGTAATTATCAGGTGGGGTTTTCTGAGTCTAATCCTATGTTCAAGAATATTTCAACTTGGGAATTTAAGATTGAGAATGACTAAATTTATAGTAAGGAATAAGTGTGCATGTGTGTATATAGCATATGATATACAATAAGAAAATAAAACAGATAAATGATAGATAAAGCCAATAGAGTTTTAAATCTGACATGCATTTTAAAGTCTTATTCACTAAGGAATTTGTGTATTTCCTAATCACATTCACAGTAAAGAAATTATCTCAATTTTTGCCCAGATGCTCCCTCTTTGCTATCTTCTATAACTTAGGGTCTGCTAGTTCTTCTTTGTGTCTCTCATAATCAGTATTTTTGTCTTTTATCCCTCTGTAAGAATGGTGACTTAATTCTATGGATGTTAATATCAATGTCATAAATTCTCTTTTATGTTTAAAAAACCATGTCTACACATGTATGCACACAGAGGGAGCAAGAGAAATGATTACATAATGATTCTATGTTTCTAAGCTTATTTTTTAAATGACTTGAAATTAAATGTATGAAGTTGTTCTCAGCAGTTCTACCTAGGGATGATAATAAAAAAGCATGGGGGTATATGGCATTTAATTTTTTTTTTACTATCATCCTATATTTGACACACAATTTGACAAAGAAAAAAATAACAGCAGAATATGCATTCATCATCTGCAATGATTGCAAAGTACATATTAAAGCCATGCTGTAACAACTGCACAGGTTCCTTCAGTGTGCTCCAGGTATTATCACACAAGAGGGCTCCAGGCTTTAACTATCTGTCAATGTGATTTCGCTCTGTCTCATAGCTTTTGCTTTTGCTCTCTTCTGTGTTTCCTTAACCTTCCTTGGTCATTGGCTTTTGGTCTCATGGCCTGCATTTGCCCGGTGCTGCAGCAGCAGGAGAGGGCTTTGGCATGCTTGCTCTTTGATAAAAATCATAATTTTTACATTTGGTTCTAGCTGAAAGCAGACCTCGCATATTGCACCATATTAGATGATGGGCTATCCAGAAAATGCTGTTTTACAAGCCCTTTGATAGCAGCAGCCCCAGGGTTTACTATTTCATCCGTCTAGGTATGCAGTTCCTAAAAACTGCATCAGCATTGTGCTTTGCTCAAAGGAAACAAGCCACAAAGACTGGCTGATAAATATTGATTAATCAAAATTGCAAAATGCTTATTTGTAAAGTACAGTTTGGAAATTAAATGTTTTATATATGGTTTCCTTTGTGGTTTGGTTTTGCCTTCCAGGTTATCTTATGTGCTTTTTGAATCTGGTAACATATTTCTTATATCTCTCCCAATAACTCTGTAGGATATTTTACAAAAGCAAAGGCATACACAATGCCTATTGCTTGAGAAAATGTACACAAAGCAAACTAAATATGCCATGGAAAGCTAATGATTGAAATCCTAATTTCCTTTGGCTTCATTTTTGAATAGAGCCTGCAAGATGAGTCTAGAAAGGAACGATATTGCCTAACAGGATTTTAAGGGTCTGCAGTGTTCATTCATGCATTAATTCTCTCAGCCACACAAGATCCATAAAATGCTTTCTGTACTGATGCTGAAAGAGCTGGAGAACAATTTACAATGTTTGTCTTCAAGTAGCTTCTAGTCCAGTGGTGAGGCATACATGGAAGTTGATGATTACAAATACCAGATGGCAGGTCCACTTGGTCTTCTTAAAATTGGTCCCTTAGCCTGCCATCTATCCCAGACAAGGGGTACATACATGTTCCTTATCTTGCATATATGCATAATTTTAACTTAGGAAAAATGCCTTCAGGATCTAGAGCCTACCAGATCAGGATTCTGCAGTCACCCATAACTTATACTCCAGGCATCTTCCAAAATGTATGTCAAGCCATACCTTAAATATATAAATTAAATACATATAAAAATTAAATACGTTTATAAATTATACATATATATGTGTGTGTGTGTATATATATATATATATATATGTTACTTTGGCCAAGGTGATGGAATGTTGGCTCAGAGCAAGAAAACTACACACACAAAATGGAGGGAATGGCTGTATACAGGCTTTCCCTAAACAGTCATAAAAATACTTTATAAAAATGAAAATATAGCCAGTGGTGAGTGGCCTCCTTTATACTGATAGAGTATTAATTTGGAAAGAGAAAGCATTTGCAGATGCTTTGATGCTGCTCTGTCGTTGCTTTATAAAGTTCTTAGCAACATTTTTGGCTGTTATGTACGTTTCTTTTGTTTCCAGTTTGTTTAAACTACTGTATGTGTGTGCAGGGAGGTATGTATGAGGGGTCCATGCAAGTAGAAACTCCATTTCCGAGGCTCCAAGCTGCTCTAGCAGAGCAGTTGAAATGATCTTAAATAAAAGTAGAATCATTCCAACACTGCCTGTGAAAGATGATATTAACATGAGGATCATAAAAAATCGATTTCCAAATTGCCATTGGGTTGCTAAATAGCACAGGGAGGTGAGATGAAGAATTAAGAAGCAAACGGAAACTTAGATATCAGAAACAGCTCAGAGGAGGGCCGAATGGAAGGGAAAGGCATAAAATGATTTTGCCAAAGGCAGCTGACAATATGCATCAGAACAGCAGGGGGAGCTATGGTATTGCAGTTGTCAAATCTCAGTTTTAATAAAGAGAAGTTTCAGATTTATGGTTCTAGCAAAGAGGACATGTTAGTGATTCTTACTTTTGTAATAAACAACCTAGCTACAGACACTGGGTTGAGCTTTAATGATCTGTATCTTCTATTGAGGCCAGGAGCGTGATCAGCACTTCCTGGGCTTTGAACAGAAGTGGTCTGTTTTACACACCGATGTGAATGAATTTACCCTCGGGTTGGTGTTTTTCTTTCTAAATGTATAGGTTTGAGTTTTGAAAGAAATCATTCTTGCCTTTGGTTAATTAAGAGGAGAAACTTGCTTTGTGGGAGAAAATGTGCAAAGTGTCAAGTAGGAAGCTAAGGAAAGTTTTCTAAATATCAGAGGTGGTTTATTTAATTGTTGATACAAGCATTTTTTTAAACAGTTTCAGTTGGCAAAGATGTAACTGACAAGTGGCAGAGTAGGTGAATGTGTACACATCAACTCTTCCATAATAACGTGTCCTCCTACCTCCCATAAGCAACTAATTTCTTAGCTGTTTAGGCTGCCTCCTGAAAATAACTATGTGGTTTTTTTTTTTGTTTTTGAGATGGAGTCTTGCTCTGTTGCCCAGGCTGGAGTGCCCAATCTCGGCTCACTGCAACTTCCACCTCCCGGGTTCAAGTGATTCCCCTGTATCAGCCTCCCGAGTAGCTGGGATTACAGGCGCCTGCCACTATACCCAGCTAATTGTTGTATTTTTAGTAGAGACAGGGTTTCATCACATTGGCCAGGCTGGTCTTGAATTCCTGACCTCAAGTGATCCACCGGCCTTGGCCAACCAAAGTTCTGGGATTACAGGCATGAGCCACAGCACCTGGTCAACTATGTATTTTATTCCTATTTAGGTTCTTACTTAAAATAGATGACTAGGTGTAGGCACAGTGAACTGAACTTATATCTCCTAGATCCATCATTATTTAAAATTACTTGGACACCAAGAAACCTGCCCATCTTCTTTTAAAGCTACTAAGACATTATTCATGAGTGGACTCCCAGTATCCTTTGGAAATGGTAGCAGGGGTGACAGCCCACAGGACAATTGTATCTAAAAGGCATCTGTCAAGCAAACTCCCTCTAAACTGAAATGATTTATTATAATTCAGGACACTGTATTAGTTTGCGAGGGCTGCCGTAACCCATTACTAACAAACTGAGTGGCTTGAAATAACAGACATTTATTTTCTCGTAGTTTGTGGGTTAGAGGTCCAAAACCAAGTTGTAGTCAGCAGAACCATGTTCTGCCAAACGCTCTAGGGAGGAATCCTTCCTTGCTACTCTCTAGCTTGTATTGGTAGCTGGTGATCCTTGTCATTCATTGGCTTTTAGGTGCACTGCTCCAATCTCTGACCCCATCGTCACATCACCCTCTTTTCTATGTCACGATGTCCTTCTCCTCTTTTTATATAGACACCAATCACTGGTTTTAAGGCCCACCTGAAATCCATGATGATATCATCTCAATCCTTAACTAACGACATCTGCAGAGACCTTATTTCCAAAAAAAGGTCATATTCTGAGGCTCTAACTGGACATGAATTTTGGGGGGACACTGTTCAACCCATTATAGGCAAAAGTAAAGGTAAATGAAGATTATTTTTACTGGTTTTAATTGAAACAATAAAGAGAGGCAAATTAGTAAAATTGTGATGATCTTAAAGATGTAAAACATGAGAAAGTAAGTACTTAGGAAAATAAATACAAATATGCTCCCAGCAAGGGCTTACATACTGTTTATTTATTATTTTATTTTATTTTATTTTATTTTTTTTGAGACAGAGTTTCGCTCTTGTTGCCCAGGCTGAAATGCAATGGTGCGATCTCGGCTCACTGCAACCTCCACCTCTCGGGTTTAAGTAATTCTCCTGCCTCAGCCTCCTGAGTAGCTGGGATTACAGGCAACCCCCACCCCAAGCCTAGCTAGTTTTTGTAGTTTTAGTAGAGATGGGGCTTTACCATGTTGGTCAGGCTGGTCTCAAACTCTTGACCTCAGGTGATCCACCCGCCTCGGCTTCCCAAAGTGCTGGGATAACAGGGTGAGCCACTGCACCTGGCCTATACTATTTATTAATGGAGTTGAAACAGAACTAAAAAAGTGGCTACACCAATAAGCTGACTTACAAACTGGCTGACACATTTGACCGCTAACGATCAAATGATTTTGTTTGGATAACTGCATTAGCATTGTACAGTTCAAATTGTACCTGTGTGTGACAGAAAGAAAAGTTGTATGGAGACTGAGTGTTATTAGTGGCATTCTAGCATTACCACACATTGGTGGTGCAATGTAGGCTATTTACTCCTTTTGGGAATTTGTTTCTTTATTTACAAAACCGAATTCATAATGATGTCTTCGGAATTATCAGAGTATGTGTGGGGGCAAAGGGCAGAAAAGGGGACACAATAAATATTAATTTACTTATCCTCTTTTCATTCACTTCTTCAAGTACTAGTCTCTTTCTTCCAACAGAAATGCATTCATACTTTTGAAGGGCACACAAATGTCTGCTTTTATTTCATACAATGATAATATTGAGTGTTTTTCAGGCATCATCATAATAATGATTTATCCAGAATAGTTGCGTAGAAATTATGCTAATAGATTTTCTAAGACAGAAAAAAAATGTCCAATACCTACTTGTTTTCCATGTCACCAAACACCCAGCTTACTGAACAGCTCATTTATTTGACAAATATTTATTGAACAGCTAAAACTCTTAGCACAGTACTTGGCATATATTCATGTATTTATTTTTCCTTCTACAAACATGGATCGTATGATTACTACGTGCCAATACTGTTCTGGACCTGGGCCTTGCTCTTGTGGAGCCACACTTAGTCAAGGAAACAGTTAATAAAATAATCATGCAAATGTAGCACTCTGGGCATGACAAGGAATAGCACAAGAGAATTAATTGTGTTCTAGGAGTCATATTGACCTACCCAGAAATAGCAGACTAAGTTTCCTTAAGAAAGTAAAAATTGACAATAAACTTGAAAGACAAAAAGAATTAACCAGGATAAGAGGGTGAAGGAATCCTGCTATGGGTGGAACAGAATGCATAGGCAAAAGAGAACTTATGGCACATGAGAAGGACTTTTAAAAGTATAACTAGAGAGGGAAAAACAATGGGAGTGTGGTATAACATGAGGCTCAAGAGGTAGAGAAGAGCCTCATGCGTGGAGTCATGCAGGTGAGTTTTATTTATTTATTTAATGAGTTTTATTTATTATTTAATTATTATAATTAATTTATTTATTATTTAATGAGTTTTATTTATTTTTTATTGTATTTTATTTTATTTGAGATGGAGTCTTGCACTGTTCCCTGGGCTAGAGTGCAGTGGCACGATCTCGGCTCACTGCAACCTCTGCCACCCAGCTTCAAGCGATTCTCCTGCCTGAGCCTCCCAAGTAGCTGGGATTACAGGTACCTGCCACCACGCCCAGCTAATTTTTTATATTTTTAGTAGAGACAGGGTTTCACTATGTTGGCCAGGCTGGTCTCAAACTTTTATTTTTAACCTAAGAACAATAGGATGGCACTAAAGCTTCTTAAGCGACAAGATAAAATGCTCAGATTTGGCAGTGGAGAGTTCATTCTTGTTGCAATTGAGTTGGAGCAGGGCAAAAATAAACTTAAGTAAACCAATTTGAGGGGCCGCTGGAGTAGGTCAAGTGAGTAGTTTGGACCAGAAAACATGTTGAGGGTGAAATCCATAGGACTGGATATGAGCAGTATTGACTGAAAAAGGGACATGGGAAGGGGACCAGTTTTTTGTAAGGAAGAGTTGGGCCATGTTAAATATGTACATAGGCAGCTGGGAAAAGGAATCTGGGGTTCAGAAGAAAGGTCTAGATTGGAGTTACTAACATGGGGGTTATTAATGTGATTAAGATCATTTCCAGCAACTATATATAAAAAGAAGAGAGATCTAAGGATTAAAATATATGCCAATATTAGATACATAATAAATAATGGCAACTAATTTTTTTAACTGTCATTTGCCAAATATATGATTTAAAATCCTAAGATGATTTTACCTTATGAATTATCAAAACCTGAATCGTTTTTTAAAGTAAATCAATACATGGAGTAAAAGTTCTCTTCCTCTATTTTTGACCTTTTCTAATTGGACTAGGTCTTGAATTAGGTTGCTGCAAATCAATTTATTCTACACATACTTGATAGTACAAGGATGAGTAAGACAGGCTCCAACCAGTTCCCAGGGGCTGTAGCTAGAGATTCTACAAGTAAAAGTGTAACCACAGAGTAGAGGAAGCACTAGACTGCATGTGTTAAGGAACCTATAGTTATATATAGTAGGGATGATATTGTGTGATATTTTAATGGAATTTGGCAGAAGGAATCAGGGAAGACTTGTAGAGGAAGTAATATTTAAGCAGAGTCTTGAAGACTGAATAGAAGGAAGCCAAGCATAGCGCAGAAAGGAAGGATTCCAAGAGCATAGAAGAGTGCATTCAAAGGCCCAGAGTCAAGACCATGATGCTTTCTCGGAAATAAAAGCACTTTGATATGACTGGAGTGAGTGAAATGCTTCATTTCAAAAAGTGGATGAATTTTAAATCATAAATGTTCAAATAAAACCTTCTATTGCCCCTTTTAAATAGTTGGCAAGGAGTTAGAAAGGAGGCATCAAATGCAAATAAAAACACCTTTATAATGCTTCAATACTCCTGAAAGGTTTGCACCATTGACATAGGGAAAAACATTTCTCTGAAGGAAATTGCTTTGAATCTTCATGTAGGATATAATAGCACATTATATATAAGTTGGCATATCAAAATTTTCCTCCACTCCTTTGACAATTTCCTTTTTTTCTTTTGAGCTGCAACTCTGTTAAAATTTGTTGATTACCACTTTTAAATAAAGAACTCCCTCCTCAGCATGAAGCTTTAAAGTCTTTCTGGTGATGAGTACCAGCACATGATATGACATTTGAATGTTAATATTAACCATGCTTCATGTGTAAAGTCCTGCACTCATTCTAATTCAACAGCATGGTCCAGGGAAAAATACCAGCCCATTATCTGATAAAAATAGTGATTGGTGAGGAAAACTTAGTCTGGAAGATATCCAATGATCTGAAGTGCAAATAGTACTTGAAAACAGTTGTGCTTACATTAATTCTTTCTTATATATTGATCAGGTATATTTGAAGTGAGATTTCCCAATATATTACTTTTTTTTTTCTTCCAAGCAAGGATTAGAAATTTTTCTGTCAGCTGTAAACTTCTCCAGCCTAAGGTTTTTAGCATTGGTAATTAAATAACTCTGTTATGTGTGAGAAGCATTAAGATAAATACTCTTAAAGGAAAGAAACAGTTGGGAAAAACATATATACGCGTGTGTGTGTGTGTGTGTGTGTCTGTGTGTGTGTGTGTGTGTGTGTGTGTAGGCTAGTTCCATTGCTGATTTTCCCTTTCCTTAAAATTAAATGAATTCTTCATTTGCTATTATAAACTAAATATTTCCTTTGAGTCCAATTAGCATTGCTGAAAGAAAAAGCAAATCAAGGCTCTGTTCAGCATGCATCAATGTAATGGAAAATCAGGTCTTTTATTCTAGCTTTAATAACTGCAGCTTGATTAGAGGCAAAGAAAAGCCTATGAAGGGAGAAGGGGGAAAATGAGAAGGACTGCCAAATTAGTTCTATAAGAATTCTCAACCTGTCTGCTCTCTGGCTCACTATTCAAATGCTAATTGAGCCTTTTGGTAAACAGAATGGGTAATCATGGAAGACAAAAACAGACACAGAAAACAAATGACATATCATACCTTATCCAAAGCAGCATGGCATTTTTCTGATAAGCTTTGGAAGACTTAAAATTTTAAGTCCTAGGGTCTTATTTTTTTTTCTGGAAAGATTATAATTAATATAATAAAATAAATATTACATAATCAAATAAAAAATGACAAAGAACCACTTTGTTTCAACAATGAAACCAGTCATGTTATAATTAGATAAGAGGATTTATATTCATAGCTATAAACATGAAAGTAGACCATGAGTCTGGATAAAGGCAAGTTTTTAATTCTTAAAAATTAATTACATGGCATTATTCTTATCAGTACACAGAATGCATTAATTATACAATTAATAAAAAGATGAAAGTTTTTTTTTTTTTTTTGGGCGATTGTAATGCACAGGGGGACATTTGGTTTTATACCCAAAATTGTCCTTCAGGCATTTCTATAATCTTCTTACTAGGCAAGGTCAAGACCCTAAACCAGTTAGTAGGAATATTGAATGGAGTGGGTCTTTATGTTAGCGCTTAGACACATTTCGGAAAGGTTGTGGATTTCCATGTAATTGGGATCTAAGGTGTAATAGGTTTAATTTGAGGTCCTCTTTAAAAGAATAGTAGGAAAAGGCATTGTCAGCAATGTTTAATAGCCAGGAAGAAGTGGCAGCTCACTCATTCACAATGGGCTTCCATAAGGATGAAAAAGTGATTATCTTACTACAACAGTTATTTCTCTGAGTGCTTCCATCATCGGCAAAGCACAGAAAATGCCTTGTGTGTGCTACCACTTTATCCTTGAAAACATTTTAAAGCTATAAATAACATTTACGAAGAAGAAATGTAGTAGTGAAAAGACAGCTGGCTATCAGGAGCAGAGCCACAGGCCAAATCCATTTTAGCAAACTCCAAGGGACTGTCCAAATTCTCTTGCTGTCTTTCAATTGTGTTTTATCAACTATTACTTGGAGTAAATGGGCTATCAGCCAAGGCTAGGAAATCTGTTTTTGTTATATACAAATTGTTGATGTAATATACAGCAGGACAGCACGGTCAGACTGCAATGGTATTTGACTTGCCTGACCTGCTGGCGATATTGCATGTGGGAACAAACATGCTACTAGTTTTCATGTGAAAAGATAGCACTCAGCTACTTTACGACCTCTAAATAATGCAAAATACTCTTGAAATTAAAAAGACCCAGATGTTGAGCATTTTAGAACAAAACTGGAGCAATATCTGGACTACCATAACAATAACAACCTTGCTGTTTGGGATAGGAAATAGAAACTATAGAATCACCACCAGTGTTGGTGTTTAGGTGGGGACTAAGTGGGCGGCTATATCTCCCCCATTATGTCCACCTACCTCTGTTCTTTGATTTGGATAATTAGTATAAAGTGATATGAAAATGCATCTTCCTACCCATTCAAATCGTATTACTAAGAACGCCATATGCTATAGAAAATCTGAGATTAAACATGCATTTCCATTTTGTCATGCTATTCTCTGTCTCTTGTCTTCCTCTCCCTCTCCATGACACACACACACACACACACACACACACACACACACACACACACACCATCCTCTACAAATATTCTTTGCCTTTTCTATAGCCTGTCATTGTGTTGTTTTCTGTCCCTGGGCATATCAACATTCCAAGGTTAATGATGAGGCACCTTGAAAATGTGGTGTTTGTTTAGCTTAAGGTAATGTTTTAAATGTCTTTCTGTGTGTGGCAATCTCATTGCTTCTAAAACAAAGCCCACCTGCAATCTGAACCTGCATTCTATATTAACACCTCAGACACATTTCTGTGTTTTTTTGTCATCCTGTCCTGGTTGAAAAATTATATGTGAGACTGGAGGTGGCAAACACTAGAATCAGTTTGATAGGTTCAAGCTTTGAAAATCACATCTCTCCAAGCCTTATTATCAAACTGATGTGCTGTGGCATCTTGTCCTTCCTAAGTTTCCTGAATTCCTGGAAAATAGAGGAAAGGAACTGGGTATTTAGCCTCAGTTCATTTACGATTCCCTTGGAATTATAAATCTGAATTTTAGCCTTATTCATCTATGAGGAACTTTGTAATTCTTATAAGAATAGGTAGCAAATTTTTCCCTAAATATTAAGCCACTTCTACTTAATAGGGATGTATGTGCTCATAATACCTAACAGTTATTTTCCCCTTATTGGACTCACAGTTAATCTAAAAGGGGATTCGAGTTGTCATTACAGCACATGGTAGATTTGTGCTTCCCTACTCTGTTGGTGGCTGAATGGACTGTGGTTTACTTTGGCCAGTGACATGGGACCAAAGAGTTATGTTTCTGCATGGTATAGCAAGCAGAACTGCCAAAGAATTTAACTTTTTTTTTTTTTTTTAAGACGTAGTCTCGCTCTGTTACTAGGCTGGAGTGCAATGGCACAATCTTGGCTCACTGCAACCTCTGACTCCCAAGTTCAGGGATTCTCCTGCCTCAGCCTCCCGAGTAGCTGGGACTATAGGCATGCGCCACCATGCTCAGCTAATTTTTGTATTTTTAGCAGAGACAGGGTTTCAACATATTGGCCAGGATGATCTTGATCTCTTGACCTCATGATCTGCTGACTTCGGCCTCTCAAAGTGCTGGGATTAAAGGCGTGAGCCACCGTGCCCAGCCAAATTTATTTTTAAGAACGAAAGAAACATACACCATCATTTTTATGCATAAACGCTTAATGCTATCTTTTTTTCTTTTGACAGTCCTGAAGACAGCATTTGAAGCTACTGCTATTTGGTAAAGTATATGTCTAAAAGGACTATTAGGAGAGACAGAATCAAGCTTTTTTAGGTTTTCAGTAATAGTGTGTTGAGAAGACAAAGCAATTGTTCTCACAAATATGCTTCCTTAAGATCATTACAGAAATTTGTTTCCTTTCTTTCAAAGAGTATGTTTTGAGAGCTAAAAACCATCCTATCATATTTGGACAAATAGAAGTAGTTACTGCTTAAGGATCAAGTGATTGTTTCTTTTAAAAGTTGTGTATGCTATGTTTGATAATCACAGCTTCTAATTCTCAAAACAAGCTCTCACTCTGGCATATCTTGAATTTGAATCGACACTATGGATACGAATCTGTATATTCAAATATTTTTGTGTAAGTGTGTTTGTAAGATACATAAGCTTATCCCCTTGCTTCAAGGATATTTGAACAGCACAATCCAAATTTGCAAACAATCAAAGTAGAAGGCAATTATTCAGGAAATTATTAAGAATATGTATGATCGCCATAACACTGGGTGTATCCCGTGGGTATAAACAATTGAAGAAAAACTCTAATACTGTTTTATAAATATATACACATTATGTGGGTAGCTCAAGGGCAAAATACGTTGAAGATTGATTTCCCAGATTCATTCTGTGTATGGGAGAAGTGCCCTTCCCAGTAACTCAGAACAAATTGAGGGAGCATTTCATCATGAGAAGATAGGCTGGTATGGGAGAAGTTTAATAAAAAGTATTTCATCCAGATTGCTGACCCAATCCAGATAGAGGTGAGTAACTTTGATTCTTTCCTATTCAAACTGTGGAAAATTTTAGATTTATATAAGGTCCAGTAAGACTTCCTCCATTTTGTGAATAAAGTGTGCATGAATGTTGTTTGGTGAATTCATTATATCCGCCTATATATTACCCAGAAAAATATTTCCATTTATAATTTTTCTGCCAGCATGTGATGACAGGCTTTATGTGCCAAGGAGATTGAAAAGGACTTATGAAAATATTCAGGACGGCACAGAGGGTTTTTAGGGCAGTGAAATACTCTGTATAATATTATAATGACTTGTATATGTCATAATACATTTGTCCAAACCCAAAGAATGTGCAACACCAAGAGGGAACCCTTATTTAAGCTACGGACTTTGGGTGATAAGGATGTGTCAATGTAGGTTCATCAGTTGTAACAAATGTATCAATCTGGTGTTGAATGTTGATAGTGAAGGAGGCTATGCATATGTGGAACAGGGGGTAGATGGGAAATCTTCCATATCCTTCTCTTGGTTTGGCTGTGAAGCTTAAACTGCTCTAAAAAATAAAGTCTTTATATATATACATGAAGGATAGATAAAGCCTCTCGTATTCTGCTGCCTTCCTCCCTTTCTGAACTTACCTGCGACTGTTCTGCGGCATGGAACTTACCCTTCCTGTAATCCAGACATTTTGCAACATTCTGAACACGCCACTTAATTTTGCACATATAGTTCCTTCTACTGGAAATGTCCTTCCTTCTTCTCTATGCACAACTATTTGCTATTTCATCCTGTGAAGTCTAAGAGCTCCATTAATCACTGTCTTTTCCAGGACCAATTTTGGTAATCTCTCGTGTGGGTTAGGAATACTCCTCTCTAATTTCATGGCATACTGGAATTTTCTGCTGCTATCATATTATTTTGTAAGCATTAGTTTACATATTTTCAGGCATTTAGAAACAATAATCTTGGTTTTGAAAAAAATCTCTTTATTCATGATATCTGCATATACAGAAACTCAATAATTTCTGGAATGAATGAATGGGTGAATGAAAGCTGATACATTGGAAAGGTTCTTTGGCAATGCATTAGCTACGGTAAGACACTGGAAAAAACAATGAGGTAGAGGCGTGCCCATATCATGCAAAGCCAAAAGTCAATATGATGAATACATACACTGCAAGCTCCTAAGAGATTTAGTTGAAATTATTTATTAAATAAATGCTTCCATGTCCTATTACTCTTTCAATTGAGCATTTTGAGAGATAAAAAGAAAACTGAAAACTACAGAGACTAACTTAGCAAAACTCCACCTATCACCAACCGTAATTCATGATTGGTCTCATTATGTCATATTTGTTGTGTCTTCATTTTTTTTTAAGTGAAAGAATTGTTCAAAATCACTGAACTACATGGAAACGGAACAACCTGCTCCTGAATAACTACTGGGTACATCACGAAATGAAGGCAGAAATAAAGATGTTCTTTGAAACCAACGAGAACAAAGACACAACATACCAGAATCTCGGGGACACATTCAAAGCAGTGTGTAGAGGGAAATTTATAGCACTAAATGCCCACAAGAGAAAGCAGGAAAGATTTAAAATTGACACCCTAACATCACAATTAAAAGAACTAGAGAAGCAAGAGCAAACACATTCAAAAGCTAGCAGAAGGCAAGAAATAACTAAGATCAGAGCAGAACTGAAGGAGATAGAGACACAAAAAACCCTTCAAAAAATCCATGAATCCAGGAGCTGGTTTTTTGAAAAGATCAACAAAATTGACAGACCGCTAGCAAGACTAATAAAGAAGAAAAGAGAGAAGAATCAAATAGACGCAACAAAAAAAGATAAAGGGGATATCACTACTGATCCCACGGAAATACAAACTACCATCAGAGAATACTATAAACACCTCTACGCAAATAAACTAGAAAATCTAGAAGAAATGGATAAATTCCTCGACACATACACCCTCCCAAGGCCAAACCAGGAAGAAGTTGAATCTCTGAATAGACCAATAACAGGCTCCGAAATTGAGGCAATAATTAATAGCTTACCAACCAAAAAAAGTCCAGGACCAGATGGATTCACAGCCGAATTCTACCAGAGGTACAAGGAGGAGCTGGTACCATTCCTTCTGAAACTATTCCAATCAATAGAAAAAGAGGGAATCCTCCCTAACTCATTTTGTGAGGCCAGCATCATCCTGATACCAAAGCCTGGCAGAGACAAAACAAAAAAAGAGAATTTTAGACCAATACCTTTGATGAACATCAATGCAAAAATCCTCAATAAAATACTGGCAAACCGAATCCAGCAGCACATCAAAAAGCTTATCCACCATGATCCAGTGGGCTTCATCCCTGGGATGCAGGGCTGGTTTAACATATGAAAATCAATAAATGTAATCCAGCATATAAACAGAACCAATGACAAAAACCATATGACTATCTCCATAGATGCAGAAAAGGCCTTTGACAAAATTCAACAACCCTTCATGCTAAAAACTCTCAATAAATTAGGTATTGATGTGATGTATCTCAAAATCATAAGAGCTATCTATGACAAACCCACCGCTAATATCATACTGAATGGGCAAAAATGGGAAGCATTCCCTTTGGAAACGGGCACAAGACAGGGATGCCCTCTCTCACCACTCCTGTTCAACAGAGTGTTGGAAGTTCTGGCCAGGGCAATCAGGCAGGAGAAAGAAATAAAGGGTATTCAATTAGGAAAAGAGGAAGTCAAATTGTCCCTGTTTGCAGATGACATGATTGTATATCTAGAAAACCCCATTGTCTCAGCCCAAAATCTCCTTAAGCTGATTAGCAACTTCAGCAAAGTCTCAGGATACAAAATCAATGTGCAAAAATCACAAGCATTCTTATATACCAATAACAGACAAACAGAGAGCCAAATCATGAGTGAACTCCCATTCACAATTGCTTCAAAGAGAATAAAATACCTAGGAATCCAACTTACAAGGATGTGAAGGACCTCTTCAAGGAGAACTACAAACCACTGCTCAACGAAATAAAAGAGGATACAAACAAATGGAAGAACATTCCAGGCTCATGGGTAGGAAGAATCAATATCGTGAAAATGGCCATACTGCCCAAGGTCATTTATAGATTCAATGCCATCCCCATCAACCTACCAATGACTTTCTTCACAGAATTGGAAAAAACTACTTTAAAGTTCATATGGAACCAAAAAAGAGCCCGCATTGCCAAGTCAATCCTAAGCCAAAAGAACAAAGCTGGAGGCATCACGCTACCTGACTTCAAACTATACTACAAGGCTACAGTAACCAAAACAGCATGGTACTGGTACCAAAACAGAGATATAGACAAATAGAACAGAACAGAGCCCTCAGAAATAATGCTGCATATCTACAACCCTCTGATCTTTAACAAACCTGACAAAAACAAGCAATGGGGAAAGGATTCCCTATTTAATAAATGGTGCTGGGAAAACTGGCTAGCCATACGTAGAAAGCTGAAACTGGATCCCTTCCTTACACCTTATACAAAAACTAATTCAAGATGGATTAAAGACTTAAATATTAGACCTAAAACCATAAAAACCCTAGAAGAAAACCTAGGCAATACCACCATTCAGGACATAGGCATGGGCAAGGACTTCATGTCTAAAACACCAAAAGCAATGGCAACAAAAGACAAAATTGCCAAATGGGATCTAATTCAACTAAAGAGCTTCTGCACAGCAAAAGAAACTACCATCAGAGTGAACAGGCAACCCACAGAACTTTTGCAATCTACTCATCTGACAAAGGGCTAATATCCAGAATCTACACTGAACTCAAACAAATTTACAAGAAAAAAAACAAACAACCCCATCAACAAGTGGGCAAAGGATATGAACAGACACTTCTCAAAAGAAGACATTTATGCAGCCAAAAGACACATGAAAAAATGCTCATCATCACTGGCCATCAGAGAAATGCAAATCAAAACCACAATGAGATACCATCTCACACCAGTTAGAACGACAATCATTAAAAAGTCAGGAAACAACAGGTGCCGGAGAGGATGTGGAGAAACAGGAACACTTTTACACTGTTGGTGGGACTGTAAACTAGTTCAACCATTGTGGAAGTCAGTGTGGCAATTCCTCAGGGATCTAGAACTAGAAATACCATTTGACCCAGCAATCCCATTACTGGGTATATACCCAAAGGATTATAAATCATGCTGCTATAAAGACACATGCACACGTATGTTTATTGTGGCACTATTCACAATAGCAAAGACTTGGAACCAACCCAAATGTCCAACAATGATAGACTGGATTAAGAAAATGTGGCACATATATACCATGGAATACTATGCAGCCATAAAAAATGATGAGTTCATGTCCTTTGTAGGAACATGGATGAAGCTGGAAACCATCATTCTCAGCAAACTATCACAAGGACAAAAAAACAAACACTGGATGTTCTCATTCATAGGTGGGAATTGAACAATGAGAACACATGGACACAGGAAGGGGAACATCACACACCAGGGCTTGTTGTGGGGTTGGGAGTGGGGGAAGGATAGCATTAGGAGACATACCTAATGTTAAATGACGAGTTAATGGATGCAGCACACCAACATGGCATATGTATACATATGTGACTAACCTGCACGTTGTGCACATGTACCCTAAAACTTAAATTAAAAAAAAAAGAATTGTGATAGTCTGATTGTGTCCACCAAATTGTAATCTCCAATGCAATAGTGTTGGGAGCTGGGGACTTTGTGAGATGCTCAGGTCATGAGGGGTCTGGCCTCATTAATGCATTAAGACCATTTAAAAAGGGCTTAACAGAGGGAGTTTGGTCCTGTTTTCGCCTCTTTCATCTCTTCTGCCCTGTGAGGATATAACATTTCTCCCCTCTGGATGATGCCTCAGCAAAGCACCATCATGGAAATGGAGACTTGGGCTCTCACCAGATGTCAAACCTGCCAGGACCTTGATCTTGGACTCCAAGGCTCCAGAACTGTGAGAAATAAATTTCTGTTCTTTATCAGATACCTAGTCTCAGGTATGTTGTCATAGCAGCACGAATGGACTAAGACTAGAATATTAAAACCCTACCTCACTGGCAAAATGCCCCTGCATGCCTTAGGCATGAACATATGAGCTTGCTTCTTTGCCACCTCTGTTCCATCATCAGAGGTTTTCCAATGGTTTTGAAAAGCTAAAGTTCACTTCCCTTGCCCAGCCTTTAACATGGGGCCAGTTACAGAATTTTCGTAGCCTAGTTCAAAATAAAAATCTGGGCCCCCGGCTGGGGGGCATGAAAATCAATCTCCCATTCCAAGGAAGCCATTGCCCCAACCCAAGGATGAGAAGCAACCTTCAAGGTCTTGCAATCTCCATGACAGGACCCACTTGGTACCCAGTTCAGGTGTGAGTGAGAGGCCCCCTACTAAGCACACTGTGGTACTCCTGGCTCAGTGTAGAGCTGGTTGCCACATTATTTATGGCACCAATAGAGAAAGGGAGGAGGGCAATTAATATACTTATCTGCCAGGGCAGGCAGGCTTCACAGCCATGGCACCAAAGCAGTAGCACAGGGCCCTCTATTCATAAAGGCCCAATATTTGGGGTTCCATGCTCTGTGGTGGCTGCCTTGAGATTCTTAACACTTTTATCTTTGAAACTATTTCATAGAAATTCAATGGGAGGATGGGACTTGTGCCCAGAGGCTTGAAGCTTCAGCTCATGTGCGTGTGAATCTCTGGGTTATGCTCTTGGTAATCCATGTCTTCCCCCTAGAACTCTGGCGTTGCCTGACATCCCCACTCACATGCCCAGGCAGCCCACAATGATCTTAGCCCTCTGTCCAGGTGGGCAACTCAGTCACATTGGCATGGAAGGGTCCATGTTCTAGCAGGGGCCTCTTCCATGAGCAGGGGTTTGGGCGTGAGCCGGTGGAAGGCTAGGATCTTTTTTTAATGACCAAATCTTTGTCATCCTTAATAAACAAAAACAAACAACAAAAGCTCATACTTCTTGTAAGCCTCTGTCTTGTCAGACTGCTGTCTTTGCTTCCTTACCCTTCGCTGAAAAACTTCCTGAAGCTCCACTGTTTTCTGTTCTCCTATTCTGTATCTCTTACTCACTTTTCAACTCACTGCCAATTGGTTTCTGCTACCATCATTCAACATTAAATATGTACTGTATCTATTATCCAACCCTAACAACCACTTGCTAAGTCTTCGATCAGTGTCTTAAGAGCTTTAATATTGTCTTATTTTTCACAATAATCCTTTGAAGTAAGTACTATGTTATACCTTTTTTTCTTTTTGAATTGGAGTCTCTTATAGATGCTAAACACAAGACACAGAAAGATTAAATCATTTGCCTCAGGCCACACAGTTAGCGAGTAGTGGTGCCAGCATTTTAATTCAAGAAATCTAGCTCTAGAGGCCCTGCTCTCACTGCTATGACCTATGGCCTCTCAAACAGTTTAACTATGGCCTTCTGACAAATCCAGGGGTTTGTTTGTTTGTTTGTTTGTTTATTTATTTACTTATTTACATCTTCTTACTATCTAAATGATTTTTTAAACAATGCTGAGCACCTCTTCCTTTTTGAAGCATTGCTCTCTACCTTCAAGGGCAGTGTTTCTTCCTGATTTACCTTTTATACCTCCAGTTGTCTCATAATAGCCTTTTACTTCACGTCCATCGCCTATTGATTTGCCCCTTACACATTAATGTACCTAAATGAGTCTTTTCCCAGTCCTGTATTCTTTCTGCTCTACAAAATCTGCCTGAATGATCTCTTGGACAGTGTCCACTCTCTTATCTGAGGTCCCCTAACAGGCTTTTTGAATTAAAGAGTCATATCTATCTTTTCTGTGAAAACCAGTGACTCATGCCCAAAGTCTTTGGCTGCTTGTGACCATTTGGCTACAATCTGTGACCTGTCTCTCAACCATCACTTTTCCTTTCACCTAGGAGAATTGTTGTCTCATCCCATCAGTCAAGTTTATTTCCAAGCATGAGTGTTGAAGTCTGTTGGCCTTCTAATGAGCAATATCTTGTAACTGCTGATTCAACCAGCATTTAAACTTGTTATCCTGGACTTCATTTCGTGAGAAATTATAAATTTCCTTATGTTTTTCTGTTAGTTTTCTTTTGTGTGTGTGTGTGTGTTATATTGGTTCAGAGTTTCTTATTTATCTGTGTCCTTTATGGTTTGGCCATGAACTTCTAAACCAGGAAATAAGATGTTGAAAATCTTTGTATCTAGTTCAGAGTCTGTCATATAGGTGTTTGATAAACATTTAATGACTGATATGTTTTGGCTCTGTGTCTCCACTCATATCTCATCTCAAATCGTAATCCTCATGTGTAGAGTGAAGGACCTGTAATGCCTGGTGTGTAGAGGAAAGGAGGTGATTGAATCTTGGCAGCAGTTTCCCGCATGCTTCTCCTGACAGTGAGTGAATTCTCATGAGATCTAACGGTTTTATAAGGGACTCTTTCCCCTTTGCTTCTCTCTCAATCTCTCTCTCTCTCTCCTACCCCTACACTGCCATGTAAGATGCTCCCGCTTCCCCTTCCACTATGATTGTAAGTTTCCTGAGGCTTCCCCAGCCATACAGAGCTGTGAATGAATGAAATCTCTTCCTTTATAAATTACCCAGTCTCGGGTAGTTCTTTATAGCAGCATGAGAGTGGACTAATAAAATGACTAAATGAAGAAATTAGAACTTGAGCTTTCTTAGATGTCTAAAAGATAATTTCAGTGTACAATTTTTAGAATCAATCTTATACAGTTAGCTAAGCTCATCATGTTAATATTATTAGACCTTAAAAATATATCTTTAAAAGAGAAAAGCAGAAACCACAGTAAGAGAATTTTTTTGTTTATTTTTTAGTTTCATGAATTGTAACCTAAAGACCTAGCACAAGATTTGAGATCAGAAGAAAGTGGTGAACCCTTAGGGCAGGTCAGTTATTACTAAAAAATGAATCTTTATTTACCAAGAGGGAAAACTAGCAAATCAAAGGGGAAATGATTTTGATTTTTTGGAAGAATTTCAGTAGCTCTTAGTATTGGTATATGAACAACTTAGATAACATGCGGTGGGACCAGACTGCAGATTTGGCCTTAGACAAAATTGTAAATAGACAAAGTTCATCCATACAGTCTCTCTTTTGGTTTTTCTTTCTTTTTATATCTCCTTGAACAAGTTTCCAGCCATTATGTTGACTTTTAATTACCCAGTTTCTACTGCTTTCTTAGCTCACCTGTGTCTTCCCTGGGTCTTTCCAGCACCTTGTCTAGACATGGTTTCTTCTTTCCTCTCCAGAAGATTCTGTGCTGACACAAAGAGATAGTAACTTTAGAGTTTAAAAAATTAAACTGTAAATATTCTACCTATTAGTTTTGCCATCCTTCTAAACCAGTTTTCTCACTTGTAAAATCATACTAGCTACCTTATAGGATTATTGGGAAAGTTAGGAAGCTAAGGTAGCAGAGAGCACAGAGTAAGCACTCAAATGTCAGCTATTGTTGTATGCCTGGGTACATGACCTTGGAACCATTGCTCATCTGTTAAATGGGGACAACATTCACTACCTAAAAGATTGCCCTGATGTTAAATAAAATAATGTATGTTATGTGTCTAGCACAGAGTCTGATATATAATTTGGATAATAAATTCTTATTTGAAATTATAATTGATTGTCTAAAGTGTTATCTACTAAAGGTTTCATGTCTCCTAATACATAAGGCAAGTTAACTAAGTTTCACATACATTTCTGAAATCATGGTAGAACAAAAGGCAGAAACTAGCATACATTTAATATTAGTGTGACTGGTTTTAAGCTAAAGAAACCAGCATGGTTTATAAGAGGAAAGATGAGAAGACTGAAGGCTGGGGAACTCCAACCTGTAGAAGTTGGGGGAATCAGGAGTGAGCAGCCCAGGAGATGAAGAAGGTAATGCCAGTGAGGTCTGGGAGCATGTGATGCCTTGGAAGTTAGGTGAAGGAGGAGTTTCAAGGAGGAGAGAGTGATCAGCTGCATCACGTTGTGCTGCTTGGTCAAAACGTGAAAGGCACTAATTTACTATCTAATACTTGAAAGTTTCCCTTGATCGGTGTTCATAATTTTGCATCTGTGTAAAATGATGACACCCATGTCCTCCTTTTTGGAGTGTGGCACACTATTTACCAATACAGGTCATACAAGGCCAGGTTTTCGGAAGCCTTCTATTTGCCCACATACTCACTTGTCTTTTCCCCTTAGGCCTAATTTCTGACGTTTCCCTCCCGATAAGATAGCATCAAATTGTTCTCTTTGAGCCAACTACAGTTTCTGGAGAAAGCAGGTTTTAAACCTGTCCTTAATCCGATCATTCGTGGCAAGTGAAAGTTTTACACAAAAAATTGCCCGTTTGGATAAACACGAAAAAGCAGCCTATCTTATTGGGCT
The DNA here is from genome assembly GCF_000001405.40 of Homo sapiens. Lineage (NCBI taxonomy): Eukaryota > Metazoa > Chordata > Mammalia > Primates > Hominidae > Homo > Homo sapiens. The sequence goes on along the minus strand of NC_000005.10, from coordinate 164,485,553 downwards.
CATTATAAATGGAAAGCTTGTCAGTTTGTGGGGAATTATTTTATTTTAAAACTTCAAGATATTGATAAACACCTTCCAAACTAGGTAAACCTCAAGCTTCAAGTTTGTTCCAGGTTATTAGGTAGAAAATAGTTGATACCATGATGTTTGCTTTGAACACTGTTCTCCACTTTGAACTCAGTAATTTCATACTTTCAGAGGATAGATGGCTGAAACTTCCTTGGCAAAATGGACAAAGATTTCTAACATGTGGTGGAAGATAATGGCAGAAAAGTCAGCTCTTTCTGGCTTTCCTACCTACATAAACATGAGAAATTAAATTTGTCAAAAAGGAATATTTTGTTTATATTCCAAATTTGCATGATATGTTTTGCAGTTGATGTCATGGCATCCCCAAAGAAGGTGGAAAAGAATGTGTTTCGCAACAAGGGCTGATCTAGTTTATTACATGTAAACCATTCATAAAACATGGAGCTAGAAGAAACTTTTAACATTGTTGATTGTAACCAAGTCATCTTTATAAATCTTCCCTCAAACTGTGGGATTATGCTGTGATTATGGGTCATTAAACCATTCATCAGATCTTATTTATTCTGTGCTATGCCTTTTTATATAATTATCACATTTTTCCCAGGCAAAATTGCTCCAGTTTCTTTGGGGTTTCTTCCTTCCTCCCTATTTCTTATCTCTTTAACCATTTAGGTAATCTGTTGAGAATTTCTTTACCAACATATTTTTAAAATATCAAGATTTGATATTTGCTCAACAACAATGTTCCTAACATATTTTCTTTGTTTTCTCATCGATAAAGTGGGATTAATAACAGCATCTATTTTATGGCACTATTAGGAGGAATACATTGACTGATTAATCTCTTTTGAAAGAGCATGGCACAGAATAAGTACTATGTAAGTCCTTAAAAATTAAAGGAATTTATTTACATAATCTAATAAATAACACCAAAGATGTGTGTAATCAATTTACTATATCTCTATCTTGCAGACATTTGTCTAGCTCAATCTCAAAACTTTGAGAAAGGCCATGTCCTTTTATTAGTATGATCTATAGTTGTGAAAGTGAGACATAAATATTTATGATCAAACTCTGCCAGTCTTTATAACTGTATATGTGTCTCTCCGATAGAGATAATTAAATTGAAAAAATTGTCTAAAGCATGGTTCAAAGAACAATAAAAGAACATATCAATTATTGACTTTTTAAGAACACAAAAAGGTACACTAAAATTAATTCTAAATTGATTATCTAAACTACCCTACACAAAGACATTGAGGATTCTGTGTTTTATTAAAAATGAATTATTACAGTAAGTTTAAATCTATAAAGTAACACAGTTGTGAACATTAAACTATTTTTTATTAAATTTACAGAAAAAATCACAAAACACATAGTATTAAGATGTAAGAAGAAATTTTATAAATCAAATTATGAAAATGTTGGGTGAAATAACTAGAGTAATCTAGTTTCTTGCTTCTCAAGGACTCCCAGATTCTATTTCTGCTTTTCTCTTTCATTGTTTTTTGCTGTCTTGTTATACACAAATAGAAAATAGAAGAGTCAACACAAGACTTTGTAATATTAAAACTTATTGTGTAAAAATTTTAGTTATCTCAAAATAAATGTTAGCATACTGCCTTTACATTTATGTTGAAAGCATAGTGCATTTACATTTATACACATATGTGTTTGTAAACATACATGCCCATATAAGGATTTAGAGAGCATCATTTTAAAATTCCAATTTCTGGGTCCACTTTAGACCTGCTGAAGGTATCAGAATTATTGGGACCACTCCAGGTAATTCTGATGATCAGGCCAGGTCTGAATAGCTAAGTTTGAGAACAGCCGTTCTAGCTTATGTAGTACTAGCTATTCATGCAATTAGTTTAAGTCATGACTACATTTTTCATCATTATAAAAATCCTGTGAACTGTGCTGCTCTCTTTATTATTAAAAATTTGTTTGCTACATTAAACGGTACATACTCTAAAAGAACTTTCGGAACATATTTTGAGGAATGGCGTATTGATTCAAGAAATTATATCATGTGTGCTATATGATGGTTTCTGTGGTAGAAACGCAAAGGAGAACAAAATAGAAAAGACCCCATCTCATGAAGATAATCCTCTCATAAGCAACTATTCAACTTTTCTCTTATGGGTAATTCCATAATACAGTAGTTCTCAAATTTGAGCAGGTATCAGATAACCTGCAGGACTTGTTAAATCAGAGAGGACGAGTCCCCACATCCAGAGTTTCTAATTTAGTAGGTCTGGAGTGGAGCCACAACATGTGCATTTCTGACAAGTTCCAAAGTGATGCTGATACTATGGGTTGGGAACCATACTTTGGAGAACCACTGCTAAAAGGACATTTGGTTTTTATCTTCCACTGGCTGGCACAAGGGTGAGATCCAGCCTTGGGGTTTTCCTCTAGCAAGAATATAAGACTTTGTATGATCAGTACTAGATTCATAACCTCTACCTTTTTATCCTGATACCTAGATCATATTTTATCTGAAATTGTATGTATTCATTTAAGCATCTAAAATACTTTTTTGGAAAGTTGTCTGCTTAGATGTGGAAAGAAAGGTAATGAGGCAGAGACAGAAACTGAAGCTTATTAAACACCTGGAACAGGGCACCTAATGTGAGTTTAACAATACTTTGCTTCCTCTGGGAATTATGCCCACCATATCTAATTATCAGAGTGGCTGAGATCAAATGAGTTAATATTTATGAAAAATTTAAATGTAAAGAGCTATAAAATGTAGATTAATTAGAGAATTCTTCATCTCATCTCTGATTCCTAGAAGAAAAACATAGAACATGTCTTCTTTGGCCAACCCAAAGAAAATTGCTCCCCTTTGCATTGGAAACATTGAGTTTGACTTCTTGCTTTTCAAATTGGTGCATATGTCTGACCTAGGACATGCTGTGTGTCACTCATTAAATGCCACTGTGGTGAGTGTCCCCTTTTGAACACAGCTGTGAGCCTCCACACTGTGGAGAGAAGCCAGACACAGGCTTTACATGCACCTCGAGATTCCTGGAGAACATATGCCATGTGTTTGTCATCTTTTCAGGAAAGCACTTCTGAAGAGCCCTTTAATGAGTTTCCTAGAGAAATTCTGAAGGAATCGTAATGCAACTAATCATTTCCTACCTTCCCACTGAACCTCTTATTAATTAACATGTTAATGCTCTGTTTGATTTCTTAAATTTAGTTTGAGAGACAGTAAAACAGCTATTTTCAAATTAAATTAAATTGAGCTGTGAGAAGATTTTCAACCGATATAGGGCTTTTTGTACTCTACTAATTCCGGTACTCATTAAGGTAAAAAAAAAAAAAAATCAATGAGCTTGGAAATGAAAGTGTTGATATTATTGTAGGGTAAATCTACTTCTGAATAACTTACTCCCTCCATGACAATGTTTTACCATGTATGTGACATTAGAAAATGCAAATTTCAGTGTTTAAAGAGAGGGAAAATTTTCCAGAGTTACCATAAATGTCGACCAGGTATCTGCTTGGGGAATTAACATAGTCATAAACTATAAAAATTAAGGTTTTTTTTCTAGTACAGTAGACATTCTTACTGTTAATAGGCTGCAATAATCCTTTGGTTTTCAATGGTATATTGCTCTCAGTTCATTGTGCAGATTTCAGGTATAATTAATTGTCTTTTATCTTCCTCTAAGGCTTTTCTTTCTAGCAAAAGGGATTTTCTTTGACTTCTGCTCTAATGGAATCTCTTGGGAAGTGTCATATAAAATAGACCTTATCACTGAGCTATTGCAATATTATAGACCAATTGGTTTTCACTTACTCTTCCTCAATAAACAATTTTCAAATACCTTTATTTATATTGATTTGGCTTTTTAAAATTTTTCTTCATTATTTTATGTTGAAACTCAGGATATCTTCTATTACCAGTATTTGCAATTAACCAGTTTTAGATTAGCATGCAGTAACAAATTCTTGAGTTGACGCCAGATTTCCATACAGGAAAATTTCCAACAGGAAAATTTTCCTATAGGTGATGGAAATCTGGCGTCAACTCAAGAATGATGTAAGTCTGTCAGTACTTCTGAAACTTGGATGATGTAAGTTCATCAGTACTTCTCAAACTTTAACGGGCATCTGAATAATGTTTTTGCTGTGTCCCCACCCAAATCTCATCTTGAATTGTAGCTCCCATAATTCTCATCTGTTGTGGGAGGGACCAGGTGGGAAGTAATTGAATCATGGGGGCAGGTCTTTCCTGTGCTGTTCTTGTGATAGTGAATAAATCTCATGAGATCTGATGGTTTTATAAAGGGGAGTTCCCCTGCACACGCTCTCTCCTGCCTGCCATCACGTAAGACGTCCCTTGCTCTTTCTTCATCTTCCACCATGATTGTGAGACCTCTCCAGCCATGTATAACTGTGAGTCCATTAAACCTCTGTCTTTTATAAATTACCCAGTCTTAGGTATGTCTTTATTGGCAGCCTGAGAGTGAACTAATACACTGGCAGATCATGGTAATCCACAGATTGTGATTTAGTGGATGTGAGGTGGGGTCTGAGATTCTACATTTTTAACAAGCTTCCTGGTGATGCTGATGCTACTTTGAGTAGCAAGGGTTTAGATGACATTGATAATCCATGAGTAACATGATGTCTTTAATAATTGCAACTCTCACAGATTTTCTAGACATCAGAGTTTTCTACTCATAAATTGCACCTTCGATTGGACCAATGTACCATAGTAAAAACAGAAATCTCTGTCTCTTTCTACATTCCTAAAGTACAGATTTCCTAAAGTACAGCTTTCCAAGCTGGAAAGATATTTTCAGGAGTTTTCACTGTCTCCTCTATTTATAATTGTAAATTGTAAGATACTTGTAATTATTTTTTGTCTTAGTTTGCCATTTGACCAAAGCATTTTGGAGGCTCAGTCCAGGGCACTGTGGTGATTCATTCTGTTTCACTGTGACAGAAGTTCTACAAATATGTTTGTTCTTTAATCCACATTGAGACTTTTGTGAAAGCGAGCACACACAAACATACTACAGCTTGGAAAAAGCCTGTTTCATCTTACAGACAGCAGTCCCGATCAATTTTTCCTAAACACCATTCATATTTCCTAGGATCCTACAAGAAGTAAATGGATCACCAGACACAAACGAATTGTTATGTCCCTTCTTAGAAAATCTAAATATCTAAATGTCTTGATAGCAAACTCTTTGTGCCTTCTAAGTGTTCAGTAAGGAATTTCATTTATATCTCGAATTTTTTTTTTGTTACTGAGAAAGAAACTCTTTAAAAGAAACTTCTCCCTTTCCTGAAAACCTCCTTCTGTTTGAAAGTGTGCATTTTAGTTCAGGGCAGTGGTTATCAAACCTTTGTGTGCATTAGAATCACCAGGAGGGCCTGCTAAAACACATCTTGCTAGGTTCCACCACTAGAACTTCTGATTCAGTAGGTGTGATGTGAGATCCAAGAATATACATTCCTAACAATTTTCCAGGTGAGGATGATGTTGCTGGTCCAGGGCCCACAGTATGAGAACTACTAATTTAAGAAAATATACTCCTCTTTTGTTCACTTCTCTAAGATGTTTTAACTAGTTGTGAGAATGCTATATTAATAAGGAAAAATGTGAGACTCCCAAAACTTGAAACATCCAACAGATATCAAGGAGCATTGATTTCCCTCTATCTCACCTAGGGAGAGGGATCTTTCCAGTAGCAGCTTACAGATCACTTTGCCAGGGCAGTTTTCTTGGGCCCTTTTATCAGGACAGTCTCCCTTGCAAAGACATAGCACCTGATAATTGATCTTCATGATGATCATCACAATTGTAATTATACAATTATTTGTGAAAATATTTAATGACTGTATTTCCTACGGAAGCTTAATCTTTTTAGGTGTCATCATTGCCTTTGCTACTGTTATATTTGTTCAGCATCTAGTTTGGAGTTTGGCACATAGTCAATGTAGTATCTGCCAAAATAAATGTTTGGAAAAACATTAGGATTCTTCCATTTACATAGAAATGGTGGGTTCTGAGGGCCTTAAATCAAAGATAGTATTCTCCTGCATCCATTGCCACAATTTTTTTGATTATGACATTCTTGCATGCTGAACTCAGACTGGGCCCAGGAATGATCTTCAATACAGGCAGCTTCTACCAGTTGTCATATATGGCCTATGAGATAAAATCTAATTGCCATTCTTACAATAAATTCTATTCAGGATGGTCTTCGCTTTGTTCACTCAATATTCCCTGAGATTTTGCCCCTATCTTTGTTCGTGCTGTTTCATTTATCTGAAATAGCTACTTTCCTCCAAACACACTCCATTTGTTGAAAACCTATTAATTCCTTAAGTCCCATCTTGAGCACCATCTTTTCTGCGAAGCCTTTTGAAATCCCCTTAATTAGATGAAATCTCTGATGACTCTAACCTTGCTCTACCTTACAACATAGTAATTTGTATGCTTGCCTTTACCTTCTTACTAAAATGGTCCTTCTTAAAGACTGGAAAAACATATTCAATCCCTTACCATAACTTCAGTTATTAAACACATATATATTTGTCTCCTATCATGTGCCAGGCTCTGTGCTAAGTACTGGGGGTATAAAGCTATAGGAGACATAGCCTCTGTCTTAAGTAGGTCATCGTTTTCCAGGGCATTAAAGAAACACTTAAAGACATGGTTGTAGAATAACACAGCAGATGTTATACTGGAGGCATTTACAAGTCACAGTGATGGGTTGAAGAAATAAATGATCATCTCTGTTTGGGCCGGGTGTGGTGAGTAAAGATATTAGAATGATTAGAAACAATTAAGTAAAATGCTTAAGAGATGGGTAGGAGATTTTACAGACATGGTAGATGTTTAGTTCCTTCCATTTAACCAACTTATTTGAATTGATCTTAATGCAGCCTGTAAAATTGAAGCTGGTAAAACAAACTCTATTTTATTTTCTTACTTCTCTTTAGTTTTCTGAATGCTGCATAAAGTTTTCACAGATCCTCTATCCGGATTCTCCTACTGTTGACTGTGTTTCCACATTACAGTTTACCCAATTCATTCACGTAGGCCTTGCCACTGTTCTATAGACTCACCCTGGATGCCCTGTGCTCTGTAGTAGTTGCATTATTTCCAATAGGAAGTGCCATAGTAAGCCACATTAAACAGGTATTTGGACTGTGCTGAAGTAGATCCTCCTCTACCAACTTACATAGTTGCATGAGTTGAGGAAACGTGCCAGGAACCCAAATCCAGTTTGCTGCTATAGGATGTAAGGGCTGCTGAAAACAATGTTCTCAGCCAGGACAGAGGCAGTACAGTTATCAGAATCACTAGGAGATACATCGTCAACTGGCACAAGGTCAACCCAACTTCCCTGTTTTAAAAAAATACCACCCAATCACCATTGAAACCTACTCCTCCTAAAATATTACATGTTTCAGAAAGTCAATGAATGCAGCTTGATAAACTTAAAATTGCTAACTGAACCTCAAAATAATGCTCAGGAAAAGGAAGATGCCATCAATTGAATAATTTGGGAAAGTTTCTGAGCAATTAAAGATTGTTTTTCATCAACTAGAAAACATTTGGTATGTTAATCACACTAAAAAAGATGATAATTTCCACGTAAACATGAAGGTGCTGCAAGCTCTCTTAGCAAAGTGTCTCAAACTTTAGGGTACTCCAGAATTACCCAGGGATCTTGCTACAAACATTACGTCACTGAGCTCCACTCCTAGAGATGTGTTTTGGAAAGTCTGGGTATGACTCCAGGACTTTGCAGTTTGAACAGGCATCATGCGGGGTAACGTTGCAGGCAGCCCACAGACCGTACTTTACCCCAGGTAAATTATCCTTGATCTTATGGGGATAAAACAAAGCCAACTGTATAGCTGACCCTTGAACAACACAAATTTGAACTTCGTGGGTCCACCTGCACACAGGTTTTCTTCACCCGCTGCCACTCCTGAGACAGCAAGGCCAACCCCTCAAGACCAACCCCTCCTCTTCCTCCTCCTTTTCAGCCTACTCAACGTTGAAGATGAGGTTGAAGGCCTTTATGATAATCCACTTCCACTTAGTGAATAGTAAATGTATTTTCTATTCTGACTTTTTAAATAATATTGATTTTCTTAATACCACTGTCCTTTCTCTTGCTTTCTCAGTAGGCTATTAATAGTTAAATTTTGGAGGAGTTAAAAGTTATGCATAGATTTTTCAACTGCATGGAGGTCGGCACCCCTAACCCCTGCGTTATTCAAAGATCAACTCTATAACATTCTTCCCACCACAACTTCTATATGCTAATGTGGGAAACAATATGCAAAGAGATTAAAACTTCTACCTTTGACAAGTGGCCTGCCCCAAACTTCTCTGTTATCTTTGATTCATTCTTTTTTTTTTTTTTTACCAAGAAAGGGGAGTAATTGTCTTCCCCATCTCCACATGTAATACAAAAACAGTTTTAGAAATCTATTTCTCTTATTGATCACGTGTGTGTGTGTATCATGATTTACTTAGGCAAGAAAGAGCTAAAGTCAATCTCCCAACCAATTATTAATTGAAGTTTTAGTATCTACTGATTACTGGCAACTAGGCCCAAGGAGGTTTGCTTATCTCACTTCTCCCTCACAATAGCTTTAGGAAAAAGGTGCAGTTGTCCTCACTTTACAGATGAGTAAACAAGATGAATAGTTAGGGAACTTGCAAAGTTTAAAAAAAAAAAAAGTGAAATCCAAGCTTCAAACCCAGGTGTCTGATTTGACAAACCACTTTGTCTTCACCACATCTAACAGTTGTTATTTCACTTCATTTTTGGGGGGGCTGTAAACTTTGAGTGAATGATGAGTTTGTACCAGCTGCAATTTACTGTTTAATGGTACAAGTGAACCTATATCCTTCCCTCATACCCTTCGGTCTCATTCCCATCTAAGGGTGGGATCTGTAATCATGTTCTCCAACAGCCAGCTTCTAGCTTCTGTGGTTTTTCTCTGCCTTTGACAACCATTTATTCCTCTTCGTTTAAGATTCTGTCTCATCTATCTTTGATCTAGGCACCTTTTCTTTCTTCTCCAGAGTGTTTCTTCCCAGCAGTCTCCTAGTTTTATTATTCGAGATTTCAGACCTTCCTTTCTCTTTTAGCTTTAAGCTTTGGGCTTCTCTCTCTCTCTATCTGTGGTGATCATATGGCATGCTGTTTCTTTCATTTAGTTTTCTTTTTCGTGTTCAACCATATATTCTTTTTTGTTCCCCATTATTCTAGATTGCATCATACCACCTTAATCCTTACTAACCTGCTGGAAAGATTTTCTGTCTCTAGTATTTCTGATACCAGCCTGTTAACCATGGGGAAGAAGGGAACAATTGACATCCTCATAATTAATTTTATTGATCACATAGCTATTTTTCCAGAATTTTGCATACTTTTTTATTTACTCAAGTGTGTGAGTATTCTATCTGTGGCCTAAAATGAATTGGCAAGTTTTGATAAAATTGCCATTGAGCCTCAAACTTAGCAGTGAAGTGAATTTATAGTAAGAGATAGGATAATATACTCTCACACCTGAAACCACAAGGACCTCGTCAGCCATGAAAAGTAACATTTCATGAAAATAGAAAACAGGCTAGTTTCTAGACATTTCAAATCAGTGGATTTCTTTTGTTCTAAAGCATTTTCATAATAACTACTAAATTTAATTTAAAAAAATCAAACTCTTCTCTCTCAGGTTTACAATCCAGTACAAGGGCAGATATAAATTCTGTCATTGGAATGATTTACCTGTCACTATTGTATAATTTATAAATAACATAGAGAACAATGTAATTTTTTAATACCATGAGTTATACGCTTTATGTTGCAATAATTTTAGTTTAGTCTCTCTTTGCTCTTTAGCAAAATAAAAGTAAAAGAATTTCCAAAACAGAGGAATCGTGACAGGGAGAACAAGAAATGCAATGCATCAAAGCAACACAAGATGTCACTTTTACACAGGCCTGCATTTGCAGGTAAGGCTACATCTGCATTGTGCATAAAAGAGTATGTGAGGGGAAAAGCATCAAGATTTACAAATGCTTCAGAAATATGAAAAGGAGCAAGCAACCTTGGTTTTGTTTTCAATATTTGTAATAATATCTTGAAATGTATCAAGAAACTAGAATTATTCTCCTATATCTACATAAGTTCACAGAATACGTTGCTTTAACAATACATTGCATCTGCCCAATCCCCAACTTTCTGGATAGCACAGACTCGGAAAACAAGCTTATTCTCACTGCAAAGCATATTCTTTCTCTCGGCTTCCTTACTTCTGCTGCATTAGTTGCCTTCCAGCATCTTATTGGAGGTCTAATCTGTTAAAAATAGATCTCTGACTATTTTTCTTTTTCTGGTCCTGCCCAATTAACCCATTTTGCACACTGCTCCCAGGTGGACCCTCTTGGGGGCAATTCTGATCCCAATATTCATCTGTTCTCCAAGATCAGGTTTAGCAAGAAGTATTAGTTTCCTACTGCTGCTACGATAAATAACCACAAACTGAGTGACTTAAAGAATACAAATGTATTTTCTGTAGCTCAAAAGCCTGACTTGGATCTCACTGAGCTAAGATCAAAATGTTAGTAGGGTTGGATTATCTTCAGGAGCTCTGGGAGGAACCCGTTACCTTGCCTTTTTCAGTTTTTAGTGGCCACCTGCTTGCCTTGGTTCGTAGCCCCTTCCTCTGTGTTCAAAGCCAACACTATCAGGCCAACTCCTGTCCTGTTGCTATCTCTCTGGTTTTTCATAGTCACATCTTTCTCTAACCCTTTTAAAGACCCTTGTGATTACGTTGAGCCCACTGAAGTAATCCAAAATCGTCTCCCTATCTTAATGTCTTCAGGTCAGCTGATTAGCAACTGTAATTCCATCTGCAACCCTAATTCCCTTTGCCTTGTAGCCTATCATACTTACATCTTTAGGGAAGTCATTATTCTGCCTACTACACAAGGTATCCAAAGGGCTTCAAGATCTGGCCTAGTTTTACTTTCCATCCTTGAGCCCCTTCCAGGGTCTATTCTCATTTCTTTTGTGTCAAGTGTTTCGGCCAAACTAAATTTCCCATGAAGTGGCCAGTGTTCATTCTTTAATCCCTAAATTTTGTTCATGCAGTTCTCACTTCCTATGTTATTTTCCAACTTCTTTGAAAACATATCTTCATTCTTCAAGTTTCCTCCCCCTGTGAATCTTTTAAACACTCTCTTAGGCAGAACTGATTACTCCTTCATGTGTGCTTTCATTGACTATATCTTCTACAGAATTATTGTGTTAAGCCATTTGTAATTTTTTTCTTTCCTTTTTTCTTTTTTTTCCCTGAGGCCCCAGGATACACTTTTCCCTAACCCTTCCAGGTGCAAAATTGTGAAAGGTGGTAGATATATTTTGTTAGATGTTTGAAAAGTATGTTATAAAGTAAGAGAAGCTGCCATTACAGACTCCTTTCTCCAAATACCAGTGGTTTACCATAATAGAAGGTTATCTTTTGATCATTTATAATACAGGCTGGTGTTTCTGGTCTACTGGTAACCTCATCCATATTGATTCAAGGACCCTGGTGCCTACCACCTCCTGGCTCTGTTATACTACCAGGCCCTTCTAATTCAAATCCAGACAGTAGAAGGAAAAAGAGAATGTTCAAGAGACTCATTTGATTTTTAAAAAGTAGCTTGGAGGCTACTTCATTTTTATTTACATTCCCTTGGAGAAAACTCTGTTACATAGTCCCCCCAGGGCCCCCCAAAAATGGCAAGGGAGCCTGGGAAATGTAGTCTAACCAGGTATCCAGCAAAATCCTATTACCACAGGGAAGAAGGTAACGGGTTTTAGTAGAAAACTGTGATACGTGCTACAGAGTGAAGAGTCTGGTTCCTCCATGACTCCCCTGAGGGAAGTCATGCTTCCCTCCTGCCAACTCTTATTTGAACATGTATCTCTTATGTAAACTATAATATTCCACCTTGTATCCTATTTCTTTGTAATATATGTCTCACTTATTCCAAAGTACATAAATCAGATCAATGTAGTAGAGGAATTGTAAAAGTATGTGTAAATCCTACATTTTACATAAACTTTCCTATATTTATTAAGTATCATTCTGCTAGATTGAATTGTTCCTTATGACAAATATGACCTGGATAAATAAGGAAGATATAATTCTTTTTTTTGCTGGGGGGGGGGGGCGTTGTTGGTGGGGGGAACGGAGTCTTGCTCTATCGCCCAGGCTGGAGTGCAGTGGCCTGATCTCGGCTCACTGCAAGCTCTGCCTCCCGGGTTCACACCATTCTCCTGCCTCAGCCTCTGAGAAGCTGGGACTACAGATGCCCGCCACCACGCCCAGCTAATTTTTTTGTATTTTTAGTAGAGACGGGGTTTCACAGTGTTAGCCAGAATGGTCTCCATCTCCTGACCTCGTGGCCCGCCCGCCTCGGCCTCCCAAAGTCCTGGGATTACAGGCATGAGCCACCACACCTGGCCCAGGAAGATATAATTCTAAAATCTTTAGAAATAATTTTAAATGTTGAGAGAAAAGGTAGGCATTGTTCTGTGGCAACGGTAAGAATGATGGAAAGCAAGATGATAAGAAAAGGATACAGGACTTGACAGAAGGTGAGGCTTTTGTCAAGAATGTTAGTTAAGAGCATGGGGTTTAAAATTAAATGGATTAGTTCTACATTTTTATGGCTATGTCACTTGAGCAAATTAAAGTCTCTGAGCCTCAATTTCAGTATCTGTCAAATGGAGGTAACTGTTCACAATTTTTAGAAGGTTTATATTAGGTAAGTTTGTAAGACAGTTAGAATTTCTAATTCATAAATACTCTAAAATGCTAGGTTTTATTTTTCTTAAACATTGTTGAATAAGGAAATCTATATTAACCTTAGATTTTTTAAAGCATGCATATAAAGAACAAAGACAGACAGAAGTTTTGAGTTACAAATAAATTCAGGAAAGCTGAAATTCAAAGACCTGATGTTTATAAGGACACAAGGACAAACAAAAGATCTTTCAAGGTTTTTACATTTACAAGAAGAAAACAAAAAAGTGCTTGAGGTTAACAAGCTACGTTTTTTATCCCTTCAAAAGCATAGCATCTCAAGAGTGGAACAAACACTTGACAGAAGTGGTTGAAGCACCATGCAGGTAAAGTGGTTGGGGAGAAACATTCTGCCCTGAATAAATGGCTTTGTGGCCAGGCTTTGGTTGTCTAAGTTCCAAAGTGAGAAAACTTACCAATGAGATTGAAAACTTGATATTGAATTAATCAAAGAGAATAAAGGACCAACAGGAGAGGCACAAGAAAGTTGAGAAGAAAAAGGTAGCTCTCATTTTCGAAAGACGAATATTGATAACTATAGACTGGAACATAACCTTTAGCATTCAAAAGATTCACAACAGGTTACCCTAGCTCCTCAATGGGACATCAGTCTTAGAAATGCTGTTGCATTAAATATATACATCAATTTTTAGAAGCAATCTGGTTTCAGAAATAAGACAGTGTGTGCAGGCAAGAGAAATGTCTTAGGCTAAACACATATGAGTTGACTAGAACAAGACTGGAAACTATGAATAAACATGATCATTATGCTGAAGTCCAGGTGTGTTCATTCAAGCCTTTAATTATATCCTTTTGGACTAGGTTTTAGAAACAGGGTGGGTGAAATGTGTTTTTGTAAATTTAGTGGGTTGTTATCTTACTTGAGCTAAGTGAGAAGTGTGTGTGTTACTCAAGAATTGTGTTCTTAAAGCATTAGAACTTTGACCCAAGTCTTACTATAAATTTTAGCAATGGCTAGAATGATCAGAAGAGACTATTTTCAAATTACAGATAAATAAAATCATAATGATTAGGCATATGGATTTTGAAATTGTTACACTTGGAAGAGAGTTCTGGCTTCGCCATTTATCAGATGTGTAGCTTTAGTCAAGTGATTTAAACTATTCTAAACCTCAACTTCCTCATCTATAAAACTATAATTTGGAAAAGGCCATCTACCCATTGTATGGATGATGTGGGATAACTAACATAAATGCACCTAGCATATAGTATATGCCCATCAGGATGGAGATAGTTACAATGCTGGTGTCCCAAATAAAATTGCCTCTCACAACCAGAGAGCATTTCAATAAAGTTAAATAGCTTACAGAAATGGGTAAATCAAATCAAACAAGATTAAAATGAATCGCAATATGCCGTTTGAGCAAAAGTGTAAGAGAACAAGTAATGTTTTTATACAGGAATAGAATAAAAAAGGCAGATAATTAGAGGCAGATATGTAAGTGTTTGAACCATTTAAGTAACTATGTTCAATAGGAATCTATTAAAAAACATAAATCAATGAAAACATGTAACAAAATACCTAGCATTTTCTTTGACTACATCTGTGAAAATATGGAAAGTAATATAAAGCAGAGACCAGCTTCACTGTGCTCTGTACTGTCTAACAACACTGAAAATCTTACATTATGAATGGAAGGCAGACAAATGGAAAAATATTCAAAGGAGAGTAATCAAAGCGTGGGGAAGCATGCCATCTGAATAATGGCTGGAAGAGAAGTGGTAGTTGTTTCCAGTTTGGGGCTATTATGATAAAACAGCTGCTGTGACATTTTATATAAATCATTTTCATAGACATATGTTTCCATTTATCTAAGGTAAATATCTAGAAGTAGAATTGTCCTATGGTAGGTGTACATTTAACTTCATTAGAAAATGCCAATTTTCCAGAGTGGTTGTACTATTTTACACTACTTTTTAATTGTTTATATATTTATTTCAATCTCATTCCTTGATGGAATTATGTCAACCTTTCCAGATTTCTGTCTTAGAAAAAAATTGGAAGACTTAACCACTCTGCACTCATATGCAGTGACCAAAAACAAGCAGAATTGAATATCCATTACCCTTTTAGATGGTACAGGAACAGTGCAATTTCCCTCACACTTCATTCATCACTCCTGACTCACTCACTCATTTGGTACCAACTGATACGTATTAGCATGAGCTTGCATACCTTCATGTAATGGGAGACTGAAACAGCCCCAGCCATTTAACTTGCTGACAGTAGGCCATTGTTGATGCTTGCATTTGAGTAAGAACATAAACTTCAAGGTGTGTGTTTGTATTTATACTTTGTCATTGTTGTTGCTTTTTGTAAGTGCCATCTTGGAGATATTTGTGTTTTTCCTTTTGACTGCCTCCTCCTTCAGTTGCACCCAGAGGGTCGGAACAGAAGCAGCAGCAGGAATGTTGCTAGGCAAAAAGGTTCTGATGACAATGATGGAGATTGCAAATTATGATTAGTGCAAACCCAGGATGTGTCATCAGCTTAGGATTCTGTTATTTACTTAATTTGAGCCTAATGATATGAAACATCGTTGTAATGTTGAAGTTTTCTTATCCTTTTCAAGGTGCTTCAATTCCCTGAGGAAAGAGGCAAGCAGATGGAATATTTCAGGCTGCAGACATAGAAGAACGAGATAGAAATATGCTCTCTGTCCTTGATGTGAAGATTCTGTCACTTTTAATTCTCCATCTTATTTACTTTTCTACTACATAAGAACTGGGGCTTGTTTTAGCAGCATTGATTAAGTTGTCATTGATTTTCAAGATAGGAAATAGAACTTTCAAATTTCCCACATGAATTTTAAATAAGTCAGATATTAACAACAAGATAAAACATTTACCATGGCAATGACAGAATAGTCAAGTATCATTCAAAACCTTTCAAGGCTCACAAAGAGCATATGGATTCTAGATGTCAATACATACATGACTAGGTATTAATTTTATTATTTAATCTAAAGAAATGCTTCAATAAGCTTCTAGCCCCAAAAATAGAGAGTTCATTTATTTTTATACATGTTTGTGTTCACTCGAAATTTGCATAAAGGTATATTTTCTACCAGTCAATAGAAATCAGTCTTATTAACAGTTAAGATTTATTGAGCCCAGTATTCTGCTAAACCTTTAGAGCACTATGTGAATTAATCCTCACAAAAACCTTAGAGCAGAGTTTGCCCAACTTGGAACTATTGACATTTTGGGCTGGATAATTCTTTCAGGGTAGGGATTGTCCTGGGTATTGTAAGATATTAAGCACAATTTCTGGCCTCTACTTATTAGAAACCAGTAACGTCTCTCATCCCAAATGGTGAAAATGAGACAGAGTGCGGTGGCTCACACCTGTAATCCCAGCACTTTGGGAGGCTGAGGCAGGAAGATCACTTGAGCCCAGGAGCTGGAGACCAGCCTGGGCAAAATGACAAAAGCCCATCTCTACAAGAAATATAAGAATTAGCTGGGTGTGATGGTGCACACCTGTAGTCCCAGTTACTTAGGAGGCTGAGGTGGGAGGATCTCTTGAGCCTGGGAGGCAGAGGTTGCAGTGAGCCGAGATTGCACACTTGCATTGCAGACTGGGCAACAGGGCAAGACTCTGTCTCAAAAAAAAAAAATAAATAAATAAAAAAAATTGAAAATGTCTTCAGACATTGCAAATGTGCCCTGGGGGAAAAACTGCACTCTGGCTGACAACCATTGCTTTAAGACAAATATTATTTCTGCCACATTACAGAACTTACCTGGAGACACACAGCCAGCAAGATGAGCATCTGGAGCAGAGAGGTAAGCTTCTTTGGATTGAAAGCCCAGGATCTTTGCATTAATTGATAATGTCTCCAGTTGATTTCAAAGATACATGAATAGAATTGTGTCTAGTTACATGTGAGGGTTTTCTTAGTATTTACTTTAATGTACATGTGAATTGAGCATTTACTATTTGGAAAATACTACACCAGGGCAAAAAGTGATGACAAACTTAACTTACTCATGGCCACTGAAGAACTTAAACCTTGTCATTGGTAAATAGCGAATTCACAACTGAGGTTTTGAATTTCATGTACTGTATTCAAATGCCTTTAAAGATGGAAATATACATTCACATTTCTTAAACATTATGCTTTGGTCTTGTTTTTTAACAATGTTTAAAAAACATCATGTTTTTTAAACATTTCTGTTCATTTACGTTTTGGCATCATTGCACAAATATACAAATATAAAATTATTACCTATGGTAGAATTCTCTTGTGAGAGAAAGTGTATCCATTATAGTACAATAATTGGCAAATCTGGCCCACTACCTGTTTTAGTAAATAATGTTTCATTGGGTCATAGCTATGCTCATTTGTGTATGTGTTGTCTCTGGCTACTTTTATGCTATGATGACAGAGTTCAATAGTTGTGGCAGAGATCATATAGTTCACAGAGCCTGAAACTTTTACTATTTGGCCTTACAGAGGAAGTTTGCTAACCCTGACACAGTATTTCAAGGTGGTCAGATTTTTGTAGCTGTGTAATCAAAGGTATTCTACTTGTCTGTGTTTATTCTTTGTATATTTTTAAATGTATATTCATCTGGAATACATCTGTGAAGCACAAGAAATAACATTTAGTCTTTTCTCCTATTAAATTGCCTTAATAAAGAATAATTGATTAAAATGATCTGAAGCCTCATTCTGTGCTAGTCAATTTGCCAGGAGTTCTACATGCATTACACTACTTAATTGTTACAACAACACTGTGAGGTAGTCAGTCAATTCTCACTTTTTTATGAGGTCACTGAGACTTATGAAGGCTATGGAACTTCCTCAAGGTCATGCAGAATCAGAATGCAGACATGTTTGATTGCAAAGCTCAAGTCTATTTAACCACTATATTACTCTCTGTGCACAGAACAAAATGTCAATAAGAAATTTTACTTGGTTTTACCTATGTTTTAAAGATCTAAGCAGATAATTTTTTCAAAATTTATCCAGATTTTCTGAATCTTCTTATAAAGGAAAAATATCTTATGCCTGCATAAATGAAAGGAGACCAAGATTATTGACTTATTCATTTAGCAAATACATAGTGAGCCCCTATCCTCCACTAGGCATTGTGCTAAATACTAAGGATATAGTAATGATAAGATACATAATCCTTTACCTCATCAGGCTCTGCTCCTAGTGGGTAGACAAAAGAAAAGCAGAAAAAGATGACAACACAACGGGCTGAAATGACCATAATACCGGTATGTGCCAGGTACTGAGAGAGGACGAAGGCTTCACGAGCGTGTTTGAAACCAAGACTTGATAGGTGAATAGCGATCAGCCCTGATGGAGATCTGGACTCTGGCCATGACGTGTTTGGAACTGCCTTGGGATATAGAAATGTTTTTTACAATTCCTGACACTGCAAGCTTGTGTTTTAGTTGGGGGATGCAAGCTAGAATGTGTAAAATATCCATTAATAATACAAGACATATTATGAGTAACTGGTAAATCGTGTGGAACAGCATAAAAGTACAATAGCAATTGAGAGTTGAAGCGAATGAACAGAGTGTGGTGGGTAGTCAGCGGGAAGGAGGGATGGAAGTTGAATGTTTAAAATAAGCAGAATCTGGCTAAATGAGGAAGAGGGGGTGTTGAGGGGACTGAGTATTTTCGGTGACCAACTGAAACAGGGACAGTGTCTACAAGCTCTTGACTCCTAAAGAGACTGGCCTCGATAAAATCAATGTTAAAAATAGCGGGAGAGAAAGGTCTATTGGAAGCTTTGGGCAAAAACGTAGATAGTTTTGAGAAGAGTGGAAGAAATAAGAATACATTTATCTGGGCTGGGTGCGGTGGCTCACGCCTGTAATCTCAGCACTTTGGGGGGCCGATGTTGTTGGATCACTTGAGGTCAGGAGTTAAGAGACCAACCCCACCAACATGGAGAAACCCCATCTCTACTAAAAATACAAAAATTAGCTGGGTATAGTGGCTCGCGCTTGTAGTCCCAGCTACTCGGGAGGCTGAGGCGGGAGAATTGCTTGAACCCAGGAGGTGAAGTTTGCAGTGAGCCGAGATCGTGTCACTTCACTCCAGCCTGGGTGACAGAGCGAGACTCCATCATCCTGATAATAGGTGGTTTGTGAAGAGCACAACATAATCTGAGGTGAATAAGTGAAAAAAGGCCAAATGCATTAAATAAATCATTGCTGTAGACAATTTTTAAAAATTCTATTAACATAATTTGATATATAATATAATTTGGTATTCATGCCACACTGAAGTGAAGAGGCTGCACAGTACTTTAAAAATGAATTGATATTTTCAAGTAAATAATTCCAGTTTATTATTTAATAAGGGTACCTACCTTACTGTGTATCTGACACTGTGAATAAAAGCATCTATGACTCATCATCACCTCTCTAGCTTTCAGTCTAATAGAGGAGGCAAGGAGTAAATGAAATTGTCACACAGTGACCCCCACATTTAACAACTAGATAAGAATTCCAAATCAGAAGCAATCACTAGGAGAGTTCATCATAAATGATGCTGGCCTAGGAATAGAGGAAATTGAGGAAGGTTTTATTCTGATTAAGTGAGATTTAAAGGGAGCTGAAAAATAAATAAATGTTGCTGAGGCAAAAGGCAGGTACGTGTTGTGGACTGAGTAAGGAAGAAGCATCCAGGCTGAAGAAGTAGCATGTACAAATCCCTGGGCAGGAGGGAGAACAGAATATTCTAGCTTGTGAATTTGTTTGAAATGTGCAAGTACATTTGGAGTAGTCACTAATGGTGTCAAATTCCTACTGCTGAAGTAAAATTTCAGCTTCACAGACAAGGACACATGGTTTTATTATTCAGATGTAAAATCTGTACATCTGGCACAAGCAATATAAGTTGGTAAGGTATAAATAATTTGAAAATGCTAGACCATTTTTAAAATTGTACATTTCTCTGCCTGAAAATAGCACTTCTTTTTTTCTTTCTACCTGGAGACAAAAGAAAGATAACTTACACATCTAAAGTCTTGGGTAGAAATAGATTGGGTCTTAAAATTAAACACACATAGTTAGGATTATTTGATCTAGATCAAATAACCACTCCTATGTTGATTAATGTAGCTCTTAAGTAAAATTCATCTCCTTTTCCTTCCTCTGTTTCATTTATTTGCTTTTGTGGTAAACTTGCTTATTTTTGAATGTGATTTAAATACTGTTTTTAGCAATCATGAAAACAAATGTTAAAATTGTTTTTGATTAAAAACTTACATTTTGTTCTGCTGCTCATAAACTTATGAGATCAAAATTTTAATCTTCTATCTTGAACCTAGATGGCTTTTTAGCAATATGAGAAGGAAATATTTATGAATACAACCTTTGTGCAAGGCACTGTGCCAGGCACCACTGTGGGGAATATCACCCCATTTTCATCAAGTTGCTCATAGTCTAGATGGGAAGCCTAAACTTAAATTATATATATAATTATATATCCTATAGAGATGAATATTATGTATGAAATAAAAATGAGAAGAGAAAAACTTATTTGGGGAAGAAGTTGGTCTGTAGTGTTCTGTATGAGAGCTTCATGGATAAGAAAGCACTAGAGTTGGATCTTGAATTAGGTTGGGATACAAGAGACCTATTAAATTAGTAGACGGGGTATTTATCCATGTCTATTAAATGTCAGAGTCCATATTTCCATCTAGTGTGCTGTATTTTCTCTCTAATGGCATTTTTAAAAATCATGATCAGTTTTGATAGAATTCTTCTATTATAAATACAATGTGTTTTTATTGTTTGTTTTTCAGGAATTTTACTTTAACGGAAGATAGCGGTGAGGGCTTGAACACTAAGGAATTAATGAGAGATCAGGTAACCATCAACCTAAAAGAGCTCAGAGATCAAGCTAAAAGAGCTTGGTTATTTTCATTCTTTCAAGTCTTATTTTCATGAGATAATTTCTTCCAAGGGGCATTAAGATTTGACTTTCGTAATCAGGTCATGATGTGGCCTGCTTGCTTATATGAGAGGTTTTTAGTGCAAAGTGAATTAAATTCATAGAAGAGCATGCTGCTGCTTGAACTTATAAAAAGTTTAGCTTTTAATTTGAACAAGAGTATTTTACTAGAGACAATGGTGATTTTAGACTATGCTGATTATTTACATATTTAAGGAAAAGTGAGTAGATTGTAGTTTTTCCAAATTTGTGGCCATTTTGAGAAGACAGAAATGTATATGTAGTCTAGTTTCACAGAGAATTCCTTTAAGAAATAGCGAAAGAGAAATTGATATAGAAAATACAATTAAGGCCTAATTATATGTGTACTTAATGGATAGGTGAAGGCATTAAGGAAAGACAGAGAGAGAAACAGAGCGAGATCATGTGTATTTCAAGTGTAAACTGGCTATTGTTTTAGGGATTTGTGAAAGGATATTTGGAAATCAATTTTATCACTTGAATATGAGAAAGGATGCCAACAGAAATATAATACTTCACAAAATTATTTTTGCACATGGTGATAATCATCAGTAAGATTTACTTTTGATCAAATAAAGCAGCAGAACAGTGTATCTTACAAATATGCTATTCTCTTCATGACATGATAAATTCTGTGAATTTTCGCAGAGTATCTCTCTCAAAAAACTGTGAGGTTTTAAGATTAGATAAGGTAAGTAAGATAATACAAGGAAGAAAAGAAAGAATTGAGAACTAATAAAAATTAAATCATCAGTTTTCACACTCTAATATTGTTGGCCTTCAAATGGAATGCCATGAATAATTAAACACATGAACAAAAATGCTATTGTGATCATTTCTCAATATTCACAAAAGATAGTTACAACAATCAAAATTTAATCTATGCTTAATACTAGAATATTATTAGTACTTAGATTTTGAATATGATTTTTAACATGTTGAATGTTTTAAGAAAGGGCTTTATCCCAAATGATGACAAAACTATTCATGACAGAATAATCTGAGATTACGGGAAGTTTCCTTATTTGTTCTTGTCTGTTAACTGTTACTCAATTAATTTGTTAACCTGAGGCTGAACATTAACTCCATAGCTACTTGATAATAATGTTTAAAAATATGTAATAACAGAAGTTGAACATATGTTTACTAGACACTAGGAACTATTTTAAACCTAGGCATTACTTTAATTCTCACACTATTCATACAACATACATGTCTATTGTAGTATAATCAATAATTTCATAAATAAGAAACATAAAGCTTAAGAATTTAACACCCTTGAGGCAATTAAGATGGTAAGTCATTGAGCTAGAGTTCGAACCCAGGTCCCCCAAAATTTTAACCATCAGGTTATCCTGCCGTCCATAGAAAGGACCACAAATACCCTACTCAGTAACTACAGGGGTTCCAGTAACTGGGTTACAGAACTTCAGAGAACCACTTACTAACTGAGCTAGTCATTTATTCTCCCTAAACTTCATGCTAATTATCTTTAATGCAGCATTCATGTTAGTACTTACAACCTCTTAGGTCTGAAGTAATAATTTAATAATGTAATGCACAGAGGTAGTTTAATAGTTTAATTTCTATTATGCATGACCCTAAGTAAGTGAGCATTAAAATAGCTTTTATTATTGTTCTTAGATTCATATATCTATCTATGTTTATAAAACTGGGTACCTTAGATTTGTGTGGCATAGCAGAGCTTTCAAAATGTTTTCACACATAAAATATTCATACATATGTTATTTAACATTTTACGTCATGTTTAATTAAGATAGGCTTAACATCCACGATTTTAAGGCTTAAGAATGACATATAAAATTCAGGTGCTGCAACTCAACTAGCTTTTGGGAAAAAAAACACAGAATACACTTTTTTTTAGGTCTGAGATTCAGTTCTGAAGAGTTTGCTGCTTTACTTACTGAATTTACTCACTTGAAATATGGCTTTCTTTCTATGATTCTGTGGAATTGGCAACCTCTGTTTTTATTCTAACAACGTAATACATTTCTAAATTAATATTATATGGATTTTTTCCCCCATCAAAGATTGCCCCCATTCAGAATAAATACACATGTCCCATACTTTGCCTACAATTTTACTTATCCCATTTGAGGAATGTATCTGTTTTAAGAAAAACAAGAAACATAACCTGATTGTGTTTCGTGGGGTCAGAATCCCGTTCTTTGAGGATTCTCTGATCACAGTAGGTTCTCGACGAATTTTGCTGAAATTGTTGAACATAATTTGAGTAGCTACAAGCTTGGGAGCTAACTATATAAAATTATATCCATGCCGTCAAGTGACTTGCAATTTTATTGGTTAGAATTCTCTTTGAAACAGCTTTTTTTCCAAGACTTTGATAAATGTAATGAATCTTTTTAGAAAATATAGAGAAATGTAGATTATTGTAACCAATGCCAAGATACTCATCTTGATTTTCTTAATTGTCTTCATTGCCAAAAAATTATTGCTTCCATGAAGCTAGGCATGTCCGTCTAATTCAAGTTTCTGTGTGTTTCCTAAAATGTATATATTTCTATTCAATGTATAATATTAAATTTGGATTTTATTCTTTGCATAAAGTGTTATACTGTACTTATTAATTTTTTCCATTTTATTTTTGAGATTAGCCATGTTAATGGACATAGATTTATTTCACTTTAATTGTTGAATAGTATTACATGATTGTAAAATATTGTATTTTGTTTATTCCTCTGGTAATGGGAACAAAATGAACAATAATAAACAATGTTTAATAGTATATTCTTGTACAGATCTCCTTGCTGACATAAGTAGGAATAGTTCTAACAAATATACTTTTGAGTGAAATTGCTGGATTGAAGGGTGTATGTGTTTTCAACTACTTTGGTGTCAGACTCCTTTTGCTCACATTCCATATTCATAGTCAGAAAATCCAAAATGTTGTACCTGTGAAAAATGTCTAGGCATGACTCTTTTTATCATTTCTACTTGTCATTGTGGTCTGGACATCTTCTTGATAAGTTATTGCACCAGCGAACTAACTGGCCTCTTTGCATCCACCCTTCCTCCTATAGACCATCTCCCACACAGCAGCCCAGGGGATACTTCTAGAACTTAATTCAGATCCTATTACTTTTCTGTCTCAAGCCCCATAAGGGCCACTAATTCATTGAGAGTAAAAGACAAAGATGTTATAATAATTTACAGCCCATAGCCACAACTCAAGATTGCTTTGTTTACTTGTTTTCCTTTTTCTTCTTCTCTAGACAGTACATGGAGACTTTCCTTCCACCTTCATCCCCATTTCTGACAATGGGAATCATGAGTCCTTCCTCTCTTCCTGAGGGCGTGGCATTTTGTGGTCCCTATTTAATGTGGGTTTGGTTTCCCATGGGGTTCCCAGCCCCAGATGGCAGACACTGACTTTGACTTTCCTCCTTCTGCCCAGCGGAGCAACAAACCTCAAAGCTCGGTTTACTTAGATTAGCAGATACTCAGGGAAAAAACAGTTAAATGCTCCTGTGATCTTGATTTTGCTGGGTTTCCACTCTCTTTTATAGTATAGATGGTTATTTCCACCAATCCTGTTAACACTTGGCCTCTAAAGAGTTTTATTTTTAATTTTTAAAAATCACCCTTGCTTACTAAACTTACTTTTTAAAGACCAAAAAAAAAAAAAAAAACCATCATGAACATATCCTTTATCAGTAAATGAATATAATAGTCCCAATAATTTTAAACAACCATAAACCATTTGCTTCTCCAGAAAATCAAGGGCTCTAGTCTCTGAGAGGGAGAGTGAATCTACTCTGGTTGAACACATCAAATACTGAATTATTATTATTTTAACTGTCATTTTAGTATTTCCTAGATCTTCAGAAGCTTGTCAGAAATGAAAATGTTATGTGATTATTACATTATTTAGTGCCTTCTGTGAATAAATGTTTACATTTTCCCCTATTTGGACTATCTAAATAGTCTAGAACACTCGTAGCATCTGTTTGAATTTTCGATAGCCTTGGAAAGACAGGACAGAGCACCAAAATGACATGTATGATGGCAACATAAATAAAGACACAAATAAGTATCTACTTTAGATAGCTTTCCTTTTAGATTTTTATTTAACTGGAAAGATATGAAAACAAAAATGTAAAAATCTCCCATAAATTTCTCACTAAAAATATATTAAACACAACAAGAAAAGTGGTGTTATTTCTTTTTTGGCCTTCCCATTCTAATACCAAGAGAAAACAGTTGCTAATAACATGACATATGTTTCTGGATTTCTTCATGCATGTTTACATATACTTTTTATAAAACTTAGATCATATTACATAAACTATCCTGCATACTGCTTTTTTTCACTTTAAGCGGTTATTATAGTAAATGCATACATTTAGTTAATATTTCAAATTATGAATAGTACAGTAATACTAGAATGAGTATTAGACATATGTGGAATTAGAATAAGACCTATGTCAGCACAAAAATAATTAATATACACAGATGGAATTGCCACTTAAAAACCATTTTATAAATTATTTTCAGTTAAGATTATTTTTGTTTTATTCTCGGAAATATTTACTACGGAAAATACAGATGTCATCTTTTTTTTCAATTAATAATATAAGGGCTATATTTATATAGTCGTGTTTGTTTATAATATCATTTGGATAATTTGGTATTATCTTATGAATATACCTCTACTTACTTTAGTGCCTATAGTCAATTTTTTTTCATTTCCTGTCATAATTTAGTAATATGCATTTACATAAAAGATTTCCACATATCTTAACACATAAAACTACAGTATGTGAAAATGATCACTGTAAACTTTTTCTATAATGTATTAATTGGTCATAGCAAAATCATTCCTACTCCTTTGCCTCAGAAAATGATTAGAAGTGAGAGTTTAGACCCGCAGCATCCAATATGTTCGCCAGGAGCCACATGTGGTATTTGGGAATGTGAAATTGGGCAAGTTCAAACTGAACAGTGTTATAACAGTAAAATACACATGGATTTCAATGACTTAGTATGAAGGAAAGGAATATAAAATATTTCATTAATCATGTCATATTGATTTTATTTGAAATGAAAATATTTTTGAACACTAGGCAAATAAAATATATTTTAAAAATTATCTTAATCTTTAATTTAATTGGATTTATTTTTGAAATGTAGCTACTAGAAAATCGACAAATGCATTTGTGGCCCACATTATATTACTTTGGACAGTGCTAGTACAATTTTTTAAATTAATATATACCTCTTGTCTTTGAGACATAAAAATGGAAAGCCAACAAAGAAGGGTGTAACCTACTGAAGCAATTTACTGACTTAGATGTGGCCAAGAACTTTTCCAGGGACCCATGGAACCTACTGCAGATTCCAGAATCAGGAAAGTGAAAACTTGCACAGCTGATAGCACACACTTCTATATTCTTTCATTTTGTCCCCTATGTGATCCTTAAGAACAAGCTAAGTTGAACAGATATACAGGGGCTATGCAAGTGAAAATTTCTGCACTTCACTTGTATGCAAAAAGGATGAACGACAAGTAAGAAAACTTAAGTATTTAAGTATTCACTGAAAACAAAAACTGCTTCTGGGTTATGCATAGACTGAATCCAGTTTTCTGGATTCAAAGGTTGTCTTAGAACTGTTTGGGGTGCTATAACAAAATTCCTTAGACTGGGTAATTTACAAAAAAATAGATATTTATTACTTACAGTTCTGGAGGCTGGGAAGTCCAAGATCAAGTAACCAGCAGATTTAGTGTTTGGTGAGAGTCAGTTGCTCTAAACAGCACCTCACATGGCAGAAGGGCAAAAGGTCTCCCTCAATCCTCTTTTATTAGGGAAGAAATCATATTCAGGAGGGAAGAGCCCTCCTGACCCAATCACCTCTTAAAAGCTTAATTTATTAATACTGTCACTTGAGGATTAAGTGTTAATCTATAAATTTTAGGGGATAAGCATTAAAATCACAGCATTCTGTCCCTGGTCCCCCAAAGTTAACTTCCTTCTTATTTGCAAAATACATTTACTTCATTCAAATACTCCAAAAGTCTTATCTTATTCCAGCATCAACTTTAAAGTCTAAGTCCAAATATGCATCTAAATATCATCTAAATAAGATATGAGTGAAACTTAAGGTTGTGATTCATTCTGAAGCAAATTTCTTCCCAGCTGTGAGCTTGAGAAATCAAACAAGTGATATGTTTCTAAAATACAATGGTGAAGCAGACATAAATAGACATTCCCATTTCAAAAGTGAGAAATAGTAAGAAAGCAAGAGGTACCTGGTCTCATGAAAGTCCAAAATCCAACAGGGCAAACAACAGGCCCAGGAGAACTGTGGAGGGAAGGATATTCCCAAGACAAGAGACCAGTAGAGCTACCAGTGTGCAACTCCTGCCTGGGAGAGATGCAGGAGTGTGACTTCCATGTATCAGAGCTGCTGCATGAGCTGTGCCCAGCAAAACCATGGGGACATGGCTGCCAGGAGACTTGAGGGCCCATTTACCACCCCAGTTTGTTTGGAAGGTTGACATCAAGTCAGAGATTATTCTTAAGCTTCAAGTCTCTCTGGAGTATTATTTGAAACCTAAGTGGAGATAATTATGTGCCTAGAGCTTGTGTACTCTGCATGCCAACAGAAATAGCACCTTTCAAACACTATCAAGGTAAATTACATGTGCCCTCTGGAGGGGCAGCTGGAAGTGAACTTCTACCTGCTGGAGTCACAGGTGGGGGTAAGACCCTTCAAATCACTCTGCCTCTGAAGACCCTGGAATTCTGGGCCTGTGATGGGAAAGGTAGTCCTGAAGCTCTCTGAAATGCCTTCAGGGTCATTCTGGTTTTTGTTTTTTGTTTGTTTGTTTGTTTGTTTGTTTTTGTTTTTTGAGACAGAGTCTCACTCTGTAGCCCAGGCTGGAATGCAGTAGCACAATTCACAATCTTGGCTCTCTGTAACCTCTGCATCCCAGGTTCAAGTGATTCTCACACTTCAGCCTCATGAGTAGCTGGGACCACAGGCATGTGCCACCACACCTGGCTAATTTTTTGTATTTTTAGTAGAGACAGGGTTTACCATGTTGGCCAGGCTGGTCTTGAACTCCTGGCCTCAAGTGATCTGCCTGCCTCAGCCTCCCAAAGTGCTGGAATTAAAGGTGTGAGCCACCATGCCTGGCCCAGGGTCATTCTTTATTTTTTCTGAGGAGCAGCACCTAGATTCTTTCTATTCATACAAATCTCCTTAATCAAGAGTTGCTCACAAGGTTTGCTTGGCCAGGTCCTTGGTGTTCTCTCTGAAACTCCCTTTTTCATACTTTACAACATGGTCAGGCTAAGAATTTTTCAAATCTTAAATACAGATTCCTTTTCATTATAAATTCCACTTTTAATTTGTTCTCTCTTCTTCCCTTTTACTGTAAATAGTCAAGAGAGACCACGCCATACCCTCAACCTCTCAATACCTTGCTTAGATATTTATTCTGCTAACTATCCAATTTCATCACTTCCGCAAAGCGCTAGAGCACTAACATGATTCAACCAAGTTCTTTGCCACTTTATAAAAAGGATGGCCTTTCCTTCAGTTTCCAATAACATGTTCCTTGGTTGCAGCTGAAACTTCACCAGAATAGTCTTCCCTATCCATATGCCTACAAACATTCTGATCATTACCACTCAGGCAATCTCTTAAGAAGACTGAGAGTTTCTCTATAGCTCTCTTCTGAGCCCTCACCCAAATCGCCCTTAATGCTCCATTCATGATGATGTAGGCTTTTTCTAGTATGTACCTCCAGCCTCCACCAATTAACCAGTTCCAAGGCCACTCCACATTTCAAGGTATTTCTTACAGCAAATACAGTACCCCCATTTCTTTGTACCAATTTCTGTCTTAGTCCATTTTGGCTGTTATAGCCAAATACCATCAACTTGGTAATTTATAAACAATAAAAACTTACTGCTCACAGTTCTGAAGACTGGAAAGTCCAAATCAAAGCACCAGCAGATTCAGAGTCTGGTAAGGGTCTGCTTCTCCTAGACAGTGCCTTTTAGCTGTGTTCGCACATGGTGGAAGGGCAAAAGGTCTCACTCAAGCCTCTTTTATAAGGACACTGCCCCCTTTATAAGGGCAGAGACTTCATAATCTAATCACCTCCTAAAGGCCCTACCTCTTAATACTGCCACATCAGAAATTAGGTTTCAATTTAAAATTGTGGAAGAAGAAGCACTCTGAACACAGCAAAAATGTTCATAAAAGTATCACTGGAGTTCCTTATGTATCAAAGAAAGATTTCAAACAAGTTTTGGTTTTCATTATAATATAGCTTACTGTTTCCTCAATATTGAAAATTAACTACCCAAAGAGTTGATATATAAAATATTTTCAGAAATCAGAGTATTCGGTTAGTTCACTTTGTTTCCAAACAAATTGAATAATAGGTGTGTCCAATTATTTAGAATATTTTTAAATTTAGCTTTGGATAGAAGAAGGGTGGTTTAAGAAAAACTAACAGATCTGATAATACAAGTATTTGAATTCATCGCTCTTCTTGGTTAGATGACCTTTTACAAACTGCTTACATTTCTCGATCTCTGCTCTTCAGATAAAAAAAGTCAAGTTCGTACTAGAACAGCAAAAATGCTGTGCTTATACTTTAAAGTGTTCTGTAGTACAAAATCTTAAAGAAATGCAACTAAGAATATAAATTGTAGAAATGGAAGAAGATTTAGGTAACAGTCAAGTATCCTCATCCAGAGGTCCTCCCAGGGAATTTCCAGGAATTACAAAGGATTCCATTTTGAAAGTTTTCTGTACTGAGCTTATCTGAGTGGCAGTATAAGCTCTCAGTATCAAATAAAAATTGAGCCCTGAAAGAAGCATTTGCCATTTGTCATTCCTAGCAGTGCTGTGTCTTTTAATGCAGTTTATCATTTTAAAATATGACATTCCTGATTAAGTTTTATCATGATAAATATCAGAAAAATATTCACCCATCATCTGCTCACCTAACCCCCTCTTTCCCATTGGTTATGCCAGGCGTCCATGATCATCCTATAGATACCTAGTGAAGGGGGTAAATTTTAGGTAACAATGCTTGCCACATGGTCCTCTATATTCAACCTAAGCTGATTGTACCAGAAACAAATGTAACTCAGAGGCAACAACAGAACAAACAGATCGACCAGTGCCATTATGTCCTGATATCACACCAAAATATGAATTTAGCCTATCAGCTTTCTTCTCTTGAGAATATGAACTCAGAATTAATAACAAAATGAACATATTTTAAGTGGGCAATGTACCTGGAAAACTATGATGTAGAGATGAGCCCTGAGATGGAGTAGAGAATATAGAAGGGTTTTTTAAAAAGTGAATAGATAAGATAAAAATAGAAGGAAGATCTCATAAGAGAAACATTAAGCTGTGATCAATTTTTTTTGGAGTAACATTTTCTTCCATTATATTGAAAACAAAAAATACCATGAATAAAGTATGCATCACTAATTATGTTGCTCATTAATAATCACACAATTGTAAGATGAGCATATATTTTGGATTTGGCCCTACCTTTTACTGTATATGAATCTGCATTTCTTGTGAAGTGGGGACAATAATACAGTTGCTATGGGATTCCATTGGAAATCAAATGAAATAATGTAGGCAAAGAATCTTTTGACTACATTATTTCTAAAATTCTAAATAGAGTTCTAAAAAGACTTTTAGAATATATTAATACTCAGTTCTCAACAAACAATCTTATTAAATATCTTGCTTTTCATTGGAAAACATTTTGGCATTACTCAAATTTGAACAGGAAGATAAATTCTGAGTCTACAGAATGGGTGTCATAATCTACAGAGATAGACCACGATATTTCAAAAGATAGTAAATTTTTAAGGAAATCAGATATTAGCTGAAAAGATTTTTGCCTCTTTCATGACATGACAGTTGAAATTCTCTAATTTTCTTAATGAATTTCACCTGCAACAAAATAGGTGGCAGTATACTAAGCACAATAATAAAACTGTTCTATGTCACCACTCTCAGTAGTGGACTTTTGGCTATGTTTAATAAGTAATTTCTTGCCAAAAATCATGTTATAGTAATAGAATATGATAATCAGAAATGTGGCTTATACTACACAAAAAGCTATTTATCAGGTTTAAGCAGTTCTATTTTTCAAAATAAATACACTAATACATGATATAAATCAAGCTTTTCTGATGTTCAAAAATAGTTTTTGACTGAAGGAGTGATAATATTCAGCCCTTATTACTGACGTAATTATAAACATCCTTGAAACATTCATATGAAGGTGATCACAGGAAAATAAGGCATAGTACAAAACTTGAGCTTGGGCAAGAAACATCACAATGTGAGACAGCTAGAGCCTCAAAAGTGATGCCACGGTGAATATTCTGGGGAATGAAACAGTTCAAATGTTCAAAAATTCAGAAAGGAAATTATGCCTCACCTATGTGAAGCCCTATGTGTCCTTTTTTACATAGCACAATAAAATTCTAAGGGGATTGGGAATTGGTGCAGAAGGAAAGGAGGAATGAAATTATTGCATTTTCACCTTCTCCCACTTTATCACTGGGCTAGGGGATGACTCATGTACATCTTCGTGAAATATCCATTGTCATCAATAAAATGAAGTTGAAGTAAATGTAAAGTTTTATCAATAAAGCAATATTGAAATTAGAATCACACTTATTTCCTGTCATTATTTCCAAGATGCTGAATAATCTAGATGAATGGAAGAAAAAAACGTCAATGAGTTCATCCTTAAATATATTCAGAGAGAAACTTTCAAGAGACCAGACTCAATAAAAGAAAGTAATGAAACATGAGAAACATAATACGGGATAACTAAAAACTCATCCAGTTCTCAAAAGGTTCACATATGAGGAATACTGTTCACCTGCCTGATGGTGCATTTCCTTTTTGCTTACTCTACGAGCATGAAATCAACCAAGCAAGACAAACATGTCTTTTTTATATTGTGTGCTTAATAAGCAGTGATCCATCCTAGTCACTTAAAAACTCTAGTTGAGCAGATCGGATCCCAGTCTTCCAAATGTTTACAAATGGTGATAACACTGGTAGGATTAAACTCCACTGGATACATCACATCTTTTTGTATATAATACATGTTTCTGGATTTCTTTATGCATGTTTACATGTACTTTTTATAAAACTTATGTCATGTTGCATAAGCTATACTGGGTACTGCTTTTTTTTCACATTTCAGGGCTATTATAGTAAATGCATATATTTAAGTAATTTTTCAAATTATGAATTGTACAGCAATACTAGAATAAGAATTAGACATATGTGGGATTAGAAGATGACATACATCAGCCCAAAGAAAAAATAATACCCAAAGATGGAATTACAATGTAAAAACTGCTTTATAAATTATTTTCAGATAATATTATTTTTGTTTTCTTCTCAGAAACATTTTCTGTGGAAAATGCAGATGGTGCAGGTTGGTGAAAGAGTAATTGCAGTTTTTGCATTGCTGAAATTTGCTGTTTGATATCGGAACACATTCTCAAATAAATGTGGTTATGTTTATATCATTTTAATGTGCATTTCTCACTTTATTTTGCTGATGACTTATTACTTGTTGTTTATTTTATATTTATTTTAGACTATGGAAATGATGTTAGACAAAAAGCAAATCTGAGTGATTTTTTTCTCTCTTTTTTTTTTTTTTTTTTGAGACAGAGTCTTGCTATGTCATCAGGCTGGAGTACAGTGGCATGATCTTGGCTCACTGCAACCTCTAACTCCCTGGTTCAAGCTATTCTCCTGCCTCAGCCTCCTGAGTAGCTGGACTACAGGCGCCCGCCACCACGCTCAGCTAATTTTTGCATTTTTAGTAGAGACAGGTTTCACCATGTTGGCCAGGATGGTCTCGATCTCCTGACCTCGTGATCTGCCCGCCTCAGCCTTCCAAAGTGCTGGGATTACAGGCATGAGCCACCACGCCCAGCCGCGATTTTCTTATTTGAGTTCAAAATGGGTCATAAAGCAGCGGAGACAACTCACAACATCAACAACACATTTAGTCCAGGAACTGCTAAGGAACGTACAGTGCAGTGGTGGGTCAAGAAGTTTTGAAAAGGAGGAGAGCCTTAAAGATGAGGAGTGTAGTGGCAGGCCATTGGAAGTTGACAACAACCAATTGAGAGCAATCGTTGAAGGCGATCCTCTTACAGTTACACGAGAAGTTGCTGAAGAATTCAACGTCTACCATTCTATGGTCATTCAGCATTTGAAGCAAATTGGAAAGGTGAAAAAGCTCCATAATTGGGTGCCTCAAGAGCTGAGTGAAAATCAAAGAAATCATTGTCTTGAAGTGTTGTCTTCTCTTATTCTATGCAACAACAATGAACCATTTTTCGATAAGATGTGACATGACTGGCTGGGCGTGGTGGCTCATGCCTGTAATCCCAACACTTTGGGAGGCCACGGTGGCTGGATCACCTGACGTCAGGAGTTCGAGACCAGTCTGACCAATATGGCGAAACCTCGTCTCTACTAAAAATACAAAAATTAGCCGTGTGGGGTGGCGTGCGCCTGTACCCCTCCCAGCTACTCAGGAGGCTGAGACAGGAGAATTGCTTGAACCCAGGAGGTGGAGATTGCAGTGAGCCAAGATCGTGCCACTGCACTCCAGCCTGGGCGACAGAAGGAGACTCTGTCTCAAAAAAAAAAAAAAAAAAAAAAAAAAAAAAAACAACTAAAAAAAAAATTGTGACATGTGACGAAAAGTGGATTTTATACGGCAACCAGCAATGACCAGCTCAGTGTTTGGACCAACAGGAGGCTCCAAAGTACGTCTCAAAGCCAAACTTGCACCAAGAAAAGGTCATGGTCCCTGTTTGGTGGTCTGCTGCCAGTCTGATCCACTACAGTTTCTGAATCCTGGTGAAACCACTATATCTGAAAAGTATGCACAACAGATTGATGAAACGCACTGAAAACTGCAATGCCCGCAGCCGGCGTTGGTCAACAGAAAGGGCCCAATTCTTCTCCATGACAATGCCTGACCACACGTTCGTTGCACAACCAATGTTTCAAAAGTTGAATGAATTGGGTTACAAAGTTTTGCCTCATCCACCATATTCACATGACTTCTCACCAACTGAATACCACCTCTTCAAGTATCGCGACAACTTTTGTCAGGAAAAATGCTTCCATAACCAGCAGGATGGCGAACATGCTTTCCAAGAGTTCGTCAAGTCCCAAAGCATGATTTTTACACTACAAGAACAAACAAACTTATTTCTTGCTGGCAAAAAGGTGTGGATTGTAATGGTTGCTATTTTGACTAATAAAGATGTGTTTGAGCCTAGTTATAATGATTTAAAATTCACAGTCCAACCGCAATTACATTTGCACCAACCTAATAAACTGATGTCACGTATGGACAGTGTGTAAGGGAAGAATGCTCCTCTGAGGCACCACACCACAAGTCATTTACATTAGAGCTCAGAGACATCTACTAAATACAATTAATGTTTGACTTATATTTCATACGTTTTTTTAAAAATTACAAAACAAAAATATTACAAAATTAAATAAGCATGCAAGGCATACTTGAAGTCATGAAATAATCTCAGGAGAAAGAAAGAGTAAAGGCAACAACAGCATAGGTAATTTAAGGCACTTCTTTTTCCTAAATATGCTTGTCTTCCAATCTTTTAATCATTGTTCTGGCATGTAGCCCAAGCTAAAGCATAATCTTTTGAACAGTTCTCTGCAGCTGTCTGAGTGCTCTAGGTGGATGGTGAAGGGGTTAAAATGTGCTATTCCTGCATATTGACGACTTAAGTTAAAGACACTTGAAAAATAGCAGATGTGAAAAGATCACATTGACCTTGGGCTGTTTCTCAAAAGCAGAACAAGAAATTCCCATGTGAAAGGTGCTCTTCCTGTATTAGAAAGAGACAACGTCCTTATCCTCAAGGACGGGAAGTCGAAACTGAGAGAATTCTATGCAGACATTGCTAATATAACTCTGAAGTCTCCACATATAATTTAGTTGCTTCTTCACTTTTACTACTCTTTGTCTTATTCACTATATATAAGTAATAGATTCTAACTGCTTCTTTAGGTCTTCCTTTTTTTTATGAGGGCTCACATGCCATATAAAACTTACATTTTGCTTTTCTCTTGTTAATCTAATTTTTGTAAATTTAATTCTCAGACCCAATCGGAATGCTAAGAGGATAGAGGTGGAGTTGTTCTGACCCTACAAAAGAGAGATGCGATACTACTAGCTGTTAGGATTCACAGACCAGTTAAGATTAATACATGTCTGTGTCTCCATATCTTTAAAGTACATTCATTCTCATTAAAAGAGTAAACATATAGCCATATGGATTATTTAGCATCCTGAATGTTAGAAACAGAAAGACAAAAATTTGTACTTTTAAGGATGGAGAAATATTAGATTGTATTATTGAAGTAATATTTCTATTCTCTATTAACATGGCAACTTTTTGGGGAAGAGTATTTTTCTTTTTCTTTTTTTGGAAAGTCCTTGAAAGAGACTTACAGAGACTCAGGCAAACACTTAAATGTTATGTTTGAGGCTGGCATGAAAACCGTTTTGCACTATGGTCATTTAAAGTAAGACTCTTTCTAAATATTAACCAGGGTCATTTTCCAGATTATTTAACTCTGTGGCTAAATGTGCCATGAGAAATGAAACTTCTGACTCTTAGGCTGCAGTGTTAATGGACTGATTCCTTTTCCTTACAGCATATTGTGGATATTCTGTTCACATGTGTTATAAAGAATAATGATAGCTTTATGCAATATATATTTTTGTAATCTGGGAAAATGTATATTACTTTATATCACATTTGATTTCTCATATAAATTACTGTAGCCCTTTGAAAAAACTTTGAAAATCCATCTTTGGAGTTCACTATATTAGTCATGCCTTTTAGTGTTCTTTATTTGTATTTTTTGACAATAATGAAATTACTTAATGTCATTTCAAGTTCATCCCATTACATATACACATGAACTCAGAGCTGGGGTAATTCACTTATGTAGTTCACATCTCCTTTGTTACAGATGGTAAACATGCAGATTTCTCCCTCCAGGAAAGAAACTCTTTCATAAGATAATTGCATATTCTGCTCATTTTTTTCTCTTACTGATGCTTTCGTACTGTTATTACACCCTGTCAGATTAGTAATTAGCACGCAACCTCCATATGACATAAATGCATTTCTCTTGCTTTCTTAAAAGCCCCTTTAGCGACTCAAAGCATATTATAACTCCAGCTGGTCAAAAAGAGAGGAAATAAATAATATAACAGGAACAACTGGAAGAGCAAGTGCAGCATCAGGTTGGTGCATTTCTTCTGATCAAAAGGTCGAATTGCAACTGGTCTTTGAAGAGTGTGCTGGTGACAGTGTGCAACCTTTGCAGTAAGTATTTTTTTCATTACTTTTTAATGAATAATTGAATTAACAGCCTCAATCACAATCTGAGGGAGGAAATTAGCTGAAGAAAGAGAGAACCCTGTGATAAGCCTTCTGAAAAAGAGAAAAATAAAAGGGTTAATCCATAGGTCAACCTTAAGAGGGACTAAAGATCCCAAAAAAAAACTGACCAAAGAGTCTATGCCTAGTAGAGTCAGTTTGAAATTATGTAGATTAGAAATGGGATTACAGGAACAAGTTGCTAATTCATATCCCTATACGGAGGAAAATTCAGTCTGCTTGGATTATCTTTTTCAAAAGGAAAATAATTCAATAAGCAATAATCAAGGTGAAAGTATTCTGTGGAATTTCTATACTGAATAGAATTGGTTATTTAATTTGCAAAGTTCAGTGTAAAACGAAAATGCAAGTTTGCTTATTCAAAGTTACTAAGAATTTCAAATTGTCAAAATAGTGATAGCAGAGCCTTAAACTGGTTGGGGGAAGGGAATGCAGTGAGGATAGGAGCGGGTATCAGGGGGGTTCTAAGTGGGACTATACAGGTTGCATGTCTATGAATCTGGTCTTGCTCCTGCAGGTAGCTCCTGGACTGGCCCTAGACTGCTGTCAAATTAAACCAGCACTGTAAAGAAGAGAGCAAGTTGAATGAAGTTGAATGAAGGGGCATCTTAATTCCAATCCTGGCTCTAATGCTGACTGTAAGCATGACCCCGGATGAGTTATTCACTCTCTCAGTCTCAGTCTCCTCATCCACAAAGCAGGGATCACAATAAATGAATAGCACCTTTCACAGAACCCACCATATATACTGAGTGTTCAATAAATACCGTGTTCATCATCTAACATCATAACACATTGAGCATCCATCAAAGCAGAAGTAGTTCGCACCTGGATATTTCTGTTTCTTTTTTTTTTTTTGCTATCCTACTGGTGTTTTACTTAAATTTAGTGTGGTAATATGAAAGAAAATTACTGCTCTTCTGCTATTTAGTTAGCATTTTTATGCTTTTTAAAAAATATTGCAATAAAATTAATAAAATTTGAATTCAGTCTTTCCTATTTAACTAATATTATCTAAAAATAACTACCTCCCAGGACCACATTATACAACAACATATAGTAGCTACCTAGGGGCAGCTATCTTAATTGTTGAGAAAATTCTACAAAGAAAGTACCTTCTTCTGGACATCATACCTATTCATATTGCCAGTGTCAGGGATGTTTACCATGGTTATGGTATGGTAATAACATGATACTGATCATCAGTACGCAGCAAATGAACATACTTTCTCAATTCTAATAAAGCATCAATTGGGACACACAGGCCATAAAATGACTAATAGCCTTTAGATTAGGAGAAAAACAATTAAAATGCCATCATATTACATGTACAAATGAATTTAAAAATGCAGTCTGATTTCCAAAATACTAAGCTATTTTATACACGTTAGTACTGAGGAAGTATGTCAGGACATTCCATTGACCTATGATATAATTATTAAGTTTTGTTCATTTATTGACCTTATGAAAGTTTGTTCTTTTATTTGCTTATATATATTTATAGATATGTATAATATATCCCATTTTTATATATATTTCCCTATGTATCCTATACATATATGTATTTCCTATATGTGCATCTCTCCATATGTATAATATAGATTACATCAATAACATTCTTCTGACTTGTTTTGAAAATAGGAATTATTCCTTCCTTTATTCATTCTACAGATATTTATTGAGTAGCTTCTATGTGCCAGGCACTTTTTTAGTAATTTGGGATAGGAGAAAAATCCCTGTCCCATGGAGCTTACATTCTATTAGGGAAGATTTCAATAAACAAAACGAGTAAATAAAGTAAGAACTTGGTAATGATAAGCAATGTAGAGAACTTTTCTCTTTTAAAGGAAGAGAAATCTGGAATTCTGAAATTTGATTTTAAATAGGTGCTCAAAGATGATATGATATAGAATTCTTCCTTTGATATTTTAATATAAAGGGTGACTCCCCTGTACTATGACCTAGATTGTATATATCATCTTTCTGTTTGATTAGTGTCCACTGTCAGTCTTTTATCGTACTGGGCATTTAAAATAAATAAAAAAATACTAAATCATGGTTGCACATTACAAAACATGAACTGAGAATAAAGAACAATACATCTACACACTGGACATTTCATTAAGTGCTAAATTATAAGGTACAGTCATAAGTGTTGACCACATTGGGAGAAGAATATAGGCAATTCCTAGCAGATCCTGGGAGGCGCACCTCTTCTTAGAGTTGGGGGGAGAGACATGCTTTAATTAGGCGTGTGTATCCAGCTCACCTAGCAAACAATGAGAACCTCTAGGGATTGCTTATCTTTGATTCCCAACACCTTGTCTGGGATGTGGAGACATAAAAGATAATCAATAAAGAATTACAGAATGAAAGCATGACTCCTTCATTCCTTCAATCCATCTCTCATGGGGTGGGGATAACTTTTATAAGGAGGAGGTTCTTATTTTTAAGCAGATTATAATTATTTCTGAAAATTTTGTTATTTCCGTAAGATTCTGTTCATATATTGACAAATCTATCTCTACATTCTCTCAGATTATTGGGGGATATTATTCAAATTCTTCTTTAATAAAAGGAGCTTTATCCTTAATGTTTTGTTAGAGCCTATACTGTTTTTGTTGAAATGTACTGTAATGAATATATTATAAAGAGATAGACCTGTAATTTAACCTTGGAGGAAATAAGTTTTACGTAGTGCTAAGTTGTTCTACATTTCAGGTTGATTGCATATGCAGGACAATAGAGAGTAATTGCTCTAATATTCATAGCTTAAGGTCACAAGTGTAGTACAAATTTCATTTTGTTTTACTGGTTTGTTCTCAAATACTATTTTAAGTTCACTTATACTGAATTTTCATGTTTGGATACTAGGATCTAATTATTTGCAGTATAGCTAGCAGTATTGCATCAAATACAAATTATTGTGTTTTTCGCCCCACATAACTCCATGTTCTGATTAAAATTCAGCTACACTAATAAGATATCATAGCCAAACTAGCTCACATGCTCACAATTGTGTTTTTTAAAAAACTCAGAGTAAAAATAATATTTCGGTGAAAGGAATGTCATTGACTTTCACTGAAATAGTAGTTCAGACTTTTGTTGTTATATAGCTGAATAATATAACCTTGAATGTATTTAAATGATTCAAGGCTCTTAATTTTTCATCCAGCAGCATTTTAAGCATCACATGATAAAATATACATTTTGGGTTAACTCATTAAATAATGTTTGCATAATTAAATAGGTAAATTAGCATCAATAGAGTTGGTGCCATTCTTATGAAAATAAAAGCACAATAAACTATACAACAAAAAGTATGTTTAGGCTTTTAAATAATACATGTTGAGGTTACTCCCCTCTGCAATCAAATGATATTTATGACTTACAAATACAAGGTAGGCTCTGTTTTAGATCATTCCTGTTCTTGACTGCCTACTTTCTCTGAGCTGCTTCTCTCACAGCTCTAGGCTCTGGGCTGGAGGGATGTAGCCATAAACAAAATGCTGGAAGTCTTTGCCTTTCTATAGATTGTGTTTTAACAGATGAAAATAGATGAATAAATACATTATTAACATTGCAAATAGTGGTAAATACCATGAAAAGAAACAGGGCAATGGGGAGGAATGGGGAAACGGGGAGTATTCTAGAGACTGTGGTCAAGGAAGGTATTTCAAAAGAGA
Organism: Homo sapiens; assembly: GCF_000001405.40. Taxonomy (NCBI): domain Eukaryota; kingdom Metazoa; phylum Chordata; class Mammalia; order Primates; family Hominidae; genus Homo; species Homo sapiens. Next base: position 164,445,470 of record NC_000005.10, on the reverse strand, counting down.
TAAGGTAACGTATTGGCAGACATCTTGAGGACAAGACTTTGGAAGGTATTTGAAAATCTATAAAAAGGCTTCTAGGAGAAGGAACAAGCACAAAGATCCTGGGTAAGGCATGAACTTGGTATGTTTAAGAAGCAAGAAGATCAGGATGACTGGAACTTGGTGTTCAAGGAAAAAATACCAGGAGAGGAGATCAGAGAGTAGACAGAATGGCAAGGATCAACTTCCAGAAGGCCATGTAGGCTGTGGTAAGGAGTTTGGATTTAATCCTAAGTGTGTTAGAAGGCTACTGATGAGTGTTGACTAAGTTAACAATATGGGTTCTTTTGTAGTTTAAGAAAAGAACACCCTAGTTTCTTCAGGGCACAGATGAAAAAGGGGAGACAAGGCTGTTGCTGGACTATAGGAAAGAGATGAAACAGAATGTCCCATGATGCCTAGGGTGGAACTGTTGACACACACCACATGATTGTACCATTTAGATATCCCAGTGTTTGGTTGAGTGTGAGAGTAAGATAGACAAAGTTGTCTGGTAATGTTGGCCATGTCCAAAAAACCCATTAATTGACACAAGTGAAAAGAAACAATCATATTTCAAGGTTAATCACTGGTCTACTTTTAGGCAGTTGTAAAACTCGTGATTATTTAAGCATAATCTGTACATCCGAAAATAGGAAGAAATATTTTGACCTGTGGTCATTTTTAATTTTTGAGGAAAATAGATATACTATATAAATAAACAAAGATTAAGTCTAGATATATTATTTGAAAGAGATAATAAAAGCTTGCAATCACTGCTGCAGTGACTGTACACTTAACGAATACACTAAACAGCAGCTCTGAGTGATACTCATTGCATAAAATGATGGCTATATTTTTGAGTGTCAGTTACCAGACATTCTGTTAGGTGATGTGCTTTATCTCATTTACTCTTGGTCACTCTATGTCATATGGACATTATTATCACCTGTGTTTTTAAAGTTGAGGACATTTTAGGCACAGAATTTTAATTTACTTACCCTTAGTAAGTCACAGAGCCAATAACTGTTAAAGTTGGGACTCCAGCTTAGGTTTCTTTTTTCTTTTTTTTGAGACGGAGTCTCACGCCGTCACCCAGGCTGGAGTGCAGTGGTGCGATCTCGGCTCACTGCAAGCTCTGCCTCGCGTGTTCACGCCATTCTCCTGCCTCAGCCTCCCGAGTAGCTGGGACTACAGGCACCCGCCACCACGCCTGGCTAATTTTTTTGTATTTTTAGTAGAGACGGGGTTTCACTGTGTTAGCCAGGATGGTCTCGATCTCCTGACCTCGTGATCCGCCCGCCTCAGCCTCCCAAAGTGCTGGGATTACAGGCATGAGCCACCACGCCCGGCTGGTTATTTTACTTTTAATTACTGTCCACCAGTGTATAATATTTATTTATTTATTTATTTATTTATTTATTTATTTACTTACTTACTTATTTAAGTTTTTTGAGACAGGGTCTCTCTCTTGCCCAGGCTGGAATGCAGTGACAAAATCAAGGCTCACTGCAGCTTCAAATTCCAGGGATGAAGACATCCCCATGTCTCAGCCTCCCAAGTAGCTGCTACTATAGACGCACACCACCACACCTGGCTAATTTTTTAAAACGTTTTTTGTAAAGGTGGGGTCTCCCAATGTTGCCTGGGCTGTTCTTGAACTCCTGGATTAAAACAAACCTCCCTGCTGGCCTTCCAAAGTGCTGGGATTACAGGCGTGAGCCACGGCACCCCAACAGCACCAGTGGTTAATTTAGTGAAAAACGCACCAATCCAGTTTCTCTTAAGAGTTAAAAATAACCAGCTGATGAAGACTTTTCCTATTCCATTGGTTGTTTTGAAATACAGACACAGCACCTGTGCGGTAGCAATACGTGGCAAGAAGGCAGTTTATAAAACAGATATGTCGGCCGGGCGCGGTGGCTCACGCCTGTAATCCCAGCACTTTGGGAGGCTGAGGCGGGCGGATCACGAGGTCAGGAGATCGAGACCATCCTGGCTAACACGGTGAAACCCCGTCTCTACTAAAAATACAAAAAATTAGCCGGGCGTGGTAGCGGGCGCCTGTAGTCCCAGCTACTCGGGAGGCTGAGGCAGGAGAATGGCGTGAACCCGGGAGGCGGAGCTTGCAGTGAGCCGAGATCGCGCCACTGCACTCCAGCCTGGGCGACAGAGCGAGACTCCGTCTCAAAAAAAAAAAAAAAAAAAAAAAAAAAACAGATATGTCCCTCTGCAGGACGTAGACTGGCCCTTTTAAAGTCAGCAAGCCAATACAACCACCAAGGATGTAAATACACTAAGTGACAGCATAATTAATCCTCCGTTACACAATCAATGAGGAACAATAACGCTTCTTGGGAAATGGAATATAGTAGACGGAGCCTGAATTTTCCCTGAGCACAGATGTTGAGTCGTCATATGATGAATCCTCCCTGGAGGGGAACCGTAACAAATACGCAGAGCCTCTCAAGGACAGTCAGAGTTGTAAATTGTGGGCCGTAAAAATAATAATATAAATATTGTGCCAGCATTTATAATTTATTTGTTGGACTCACAGGTGAGAAATGAGGTTTAGCTAGCAGGTCTAATGTAAACTAGTGTTGGCAAACCCATGCTGTGTACTAAACCATTGCTTTCTGTATTTCATTTAGTTTAAAAACATAAAATAAAGCTCAGAAAAAGGAAATTCCTTTGGAAAAATGGAGTTATGGACACAGATTTTTGTAATGTGACATTATAAAGTTATTGGAGTGTTAGTAAATTTAGTTTTTCTTGACGTGTAATGGGGAAATTTAGGCACTTAGAGCACTGAGGGAAATCATAACATCGAGAAACAATTCTGTTTAAAAACATGCAAAATTGCACAGGTGTGTTTTTTTTGGTTGGTTGGTTTTTTACCGTAACTTAACATTGGAAAGTCAAAATCATTAACTGAAGAAGGACATCATTGTGAGACAGTGAGGGGCTGTGAAAAGAATATAGTTGTTCAGTTTCAAAAGCTGTTTCCTAATCTCAGCTGTGCCTTAAACCCCAGTGATCCTTGGGCAAGTTCCATAGTGCCCCAGGGCCTATAGATAGTTGTGGCAGTCCTTGCTAAATAAGACTCATGAATATAAAGTGAGGTATGTGTAAGAGAAGGCAGTATTGCTTTGAGCTTTAAGATGCCCGCCATTCCCAGCTGGGCTGCACTGGCAAACTCTTTTGTTTCCATGTACCTCAGTTTCCCCATCTTGTCAATGGGGATAATAACACTTACCTTTGTGAGTTTTTGAGGATTAATGGAAATGTGATACATGTCAAGTTCTGGGTACTGCGTCTTAGAGAAATAAGAGCTCAATAATTGTTAGCATTGTACATTTACTGTATTTCCTCAAGGTAGTCAACTATCAGTAAATGTTTTTTTGAATAAAAAATAAATATGGTCAGAAGTTCTATTGAATATTTATTAGATTCCTATTTAGGACTATAGTATGCTATAGTTTATAGATTTATACCAACTGATGAGATGATGAATAAGCCATGATATGACAAGTAGCTATTTCTGTCTGAGAATATCAGACAAACATACATGGAAATATTTGAAGGCCACCCTATCAGAGGCACAGGCTTTTGCAAAGCAAAAAAAAAAATGTGGAGACACCACTCCATCAACAGATGGACAGAGTGGTAGAAGTATGACGTCTATTTGGAGAACTATCAAAATTAAAGGAAAGAAAGTGTTAGTGAACAGAGTGCTACGAGGAGCAGAAGAAATAAGAAGTGAGGCTTAACTATTATTGTTAGGAATAAAATGTCCTGGTGTTAAATAAATTAAGATTTTTTTAGAGGAAGAGTTCAGTAAGTCTAAATGTAAAATAAAAGTTGCTATGGAAATATATTTCTCCTTGGACTATCAATAATCATCTCTTTAATGTTTCAATCAGTCCTGGGCAGGTTTAGTCCCTCCTCTCTTACTTAACATGCATATTTATCTCTTCTGGATTCTAGATACAAAGTTCATGGAGGGCAGACCACCTTGTTCCGATAACATGATGAAAGAGAGCCTTTTTAAGAATATCAACCTGGCAGAGATACGTTAGATGAAGTAAATGGATTGGAGGGAAAAGGGGAGACCCCCAAGACAACTTAATTAGCCTAGTGGTTAGGTGGCAAAGCCCCAGCAAATGTTGTGACCCCACTGGAAATAAAACAAAACAGACGGTGTGCGTGTTGGGGAGGGAGTAAATACTTCACAAGTTTAGTAGGAGCATCCTTCTTTATTTTGCTTTTATGATTATTGCAATGCATGTGATGGCTTGAAGTAATGGATGGTGTGTTTCGCCATCTCTGATGGTGATTATTATGGTAGCGGGGGGTAAGATTGCTGAATTTCTGGAAGAAAATATTTAAAGTTTAACATCTAAAATTGTTCTTAATAATTTTAACATACCAGAAGTCTTTCAATAATTAAATAACAACATGTGTCTCTAATGTGGGGGGAAAAGTTGGTCCTGAGTATTCTCATAACTCATACTGTAATGCTAGAAAAATGGCCCCCTAGAAATAATACATTTCTCATGCATGTATGTTGACATCAAAACTAATCTCTAAAATCATTGACAGACTGTAGTAAAAGACAAGGTCTTTTCTTGTCAAATAACTACATGGTGTATAAATTTTAGTGAGAAGATATATTTTAGGAAACATATCTATTTATCTCCAGATGTCTTCCATTCTCTGAGTAGAGAACCCTGCTAGCACATTAACAATAGAATGTTAGAGATGGTTGCAATAGTTTAAACGTCAGTTTGTCTGCGTTTATCCAACTCTGTAATCTCTCCTGTGGATATATTAGATTTGTTTGCATTTTAAAAATCTCATTACAAGTTTTTGAAAACAGGAAATTGCTTCTACTATAAGAGATCAATGCGCTCTTGACTCTAGCATTTTCAACAATGGTTTATCAGTGCTGATGTAGTGGAGATGAGGGGCTAAGAGAATGAGTTTGGGTTCTCTAATAAGCTTGGGAAAAAAGTCACTGAGCAGAAATACCACAATAATTATGAATTCTTAAATTTAACGATGTTGATTCAATTAGATCATTCAATTGCCCAAAGAAGCAAAACTCTCAAGTTCATACCTACTTTTGTTGTAAAATTGTATTTTTGAGGAGGAGGAGGAGAAAAGAGTGTTTGTAATATCAGGGTTAATAGATTTAATTTAGAGAAAATTGTATTATATTTTTCCCTGTAATTAGAAATGGGGAAAAAACATCTCTTTGAGATTTGGCCCAAAACATAAGCCAAAGCATTTCAAACTGGAAATGGTTCCAGAAATGTAAGCCTAGGATTTTTCATTTTATTTCATCTTGGTCAGAAACAGCATGAGATCAATTGGGTAAAATTTTACTTCTCATTAAACAGAACCTGTTAATTTGTTCCAAAATAAATACCATGATGTGGCCAAGTTTGGCACAGATTGTTGTCTGCCCGAACCACTCAGGGTCACTTTAGTTTGCATTCATTGCCTAGATAACTATCCTAAATCCTTTACCTTCCTCTGAAAAATTTCATCCATTTCCTGGATTCCATGCTAAGCCCTAAAGCTCTAATTCAAGCTCTCTATTGAATTCTACCCAGAAGTTTCATAGGCAGCTCAAAAGTCATTTATTTAAAACCTAACAAAGCATATACCTGTCTTTTAATAAGAATATTCTTGTACTTTTAGCTTGATTTCTACAACTTTTCATTAGATTTAAATTTATTGGAATCTCTATCTAATTATACACCTTCAAGTGATCCTCAAATGAATTTTCTTCAGAAATCTTCTTCCAAATTTGGACACCACCCCCCTCCATTTAGGTTTTCATTGACTTTCAGTAAAATTACATAAGTTCTAAATGCCTAATTGTTACTCTTTGCCTTGAATCCTCCATTTTTCTGCCAAAGTGGTCTTGACAAATCCCATATATACTAATATATTAACCCATTAGTAATTCAATCCCTAAAGTCCTTCAGTGATTCCTTTTGCCATCAGGATAAAATATCAAGCTGTTAGAATGACTGCCAGGCACTTCATGAACTGGTCCTCATTTTAAGCTGCCACATCGCCCATTTCCCTCCTCCTTCAGACATACTTCTCATTTTGCAGAAAATGTTTTTGGTGGAAATGGTGGTGATTTTTTAATTGTTTTTGTAGTTACATTCTGTATACTTCAAGATATTTAACATTATCTCAATATAACAAAATCTAAATTTCCTTATTTTTTTCTTCTATAACTTTAGGTGTATTAAGCAGCATTAAGAAAATAATAAAGCAAGACATTTGCATAAATACCCCCAAATGCCATTATTTCTAATCTCTTCTTACTCCCATCTATGATCCAAAGCACTTCTTAAAGACAGCTGTAGTTAGAAAATGGGTAAAACTTTGTAATTTTATCTAGCTAACATTTAATGTACATACATTTTACTCTAGGATATCCTTTGTGTAGTTAACATTCTGTTGCATTCTTATTCACATTTTGAAAGACCCAATTTCTTGTTTTTAACTCTAGGATATTCTTTCTGTAGTTAACATCCTGTTAAATTCTTATTCACATCTTGAAGAGCCAATTTTTTTTGTCTGTCCTGTCCAATGAGAAGATTTCCTTTCTTGGGAATTATTGTACAAAATTTCAACCCATCTGTTTTGGTAACTGATATAAAAGTAGACAGAAAATCAGTTAGGATAGTTGACCCTTGAATAATATGAGTCTGAACCATGTAGATCCACTTATACTCAGATGTTTTTCAATCAAATTTACACCAAGTGTGCCTTCATCTCCTGCATCCTCTTCTATCTCCTCCACCTCTTCTGCCTCTGTCGCCTCTGAGACAGGAAGACCAACTACCCCTCTTCCTCAGCCTACTTAACACAAAGAAAATGAAGATGAAGACTTCTATGATACATTTCAACTTAATGAATTGTAGATACATTTTTTCTTCCTTATGATTTTAAATTATATTTTGTTTTATCTAGCTAACTTTATTCTATAAAATACACATAACATACCAAATAGGTGCTAATCAACTGTTTATGTTACCAGCAAGGCTTATGGTCAACAGCAGGTTATACTAGTTAAGATTCTGGAAAGTTGAAAGTTACACAAAGATTTTTTGACCACACAGGAGGTTGGCACTTTTAACTCTCAAGGGTTGTTCAAGGATAAACTGTGTATGAAAGACTTAAACAACACTATCAATCATCTTGACCCAATGAACTCTCCACTCAACAACAGCAAAATACACATTATTTCTATGTGTGCACAGAATATTTGCCAAAATACACCTTATTCAGGGCTATAAAACAAATCTCAATATACTTAAAGAAACTGAAATCCCAGAAAATCATGCCCTCTGATCACAATGGAGTTAAATTAGAATTCAATAACTAAAAAGTATCTGGAAAATCCCTGAAATATTTGGAAATTAAACAACACTTCCTAAATACCTCATGGGAGAAAGGACAAAGTGAAATGAGAAATGTCTTTACCAGATGAAAATAAAAATAAAATAAAAGTAAACCAGATAAAAACATAACATTATCAGAATTTTCAGAGTAGAGCAAAAGCGGTGCACAGAGGAAAATGCATAGCATCAAATACTTATGGTAGAACAGATGAAAGGGCTCAATTAATAATTTAAGAATTCAACTTTAAAAACTTAAGACAAAGGGGAATATCAGGCAAAAGAGCTAATTAAATCCAGTAAGCAGAAGGAAAATAAGTACAATAAACACAAGAAACAATAAGAAGAAAATAACAGGCCGGGCGCGGTGGCTCACGCCTGTAATCCCAGCACTTTGGGAGGCCGAGGCGGGCGGATCACGAGGTCAGGAGATCGAGACCACGGTGAAACCCCGTCTCTACTAAAAATACAAAAAATTAGCCGGGCGCAGTGGCGGGCGCCTGTAGTCCCAGCTACTCGGGAGGCTGAGGCAGGAGAATGGCGTGAACCCGGGAGGCGGAGCTTGCAGTGAGCGGAGATCGCGCCACAGCACTCCCGCCTGGGCGACAGAACGAGACTCCGTCTCAAAAAAAAAAAAAAAAAAAAAAAAAAGAAAATAACAGCAGCAATCAATGAAATAAAAACAGTGAAGACAACAAAGAAACTCAATGAAACCAAAAGCTGGTTAACTGAAAAGTCAATCTGTTTTTTTTTTTTCTATTATTCTGTTTCTTTGTTTCCACCTCACAAAACCTACCATTCTGCCATTATCCAGTGGGAGCTCTTATTCTAACTGCCCTGATTCATGAATTACAGATAAAAGCCTGTTAGATATACCAATAAATTTATAGTACACTCTCTACAAAAAGAGCACAAGGGAGTTTCTTGGAGCAATGAAAATATTCTATATCATGATTTTGGTGTGACTTACAACACTATATTATACATTTGTTAAAACACATCAAATTATACAATTAAAATTGGTGAATTTGTTGCACACAAATTATAGGTCAAAAGTATTTTCTCAAGGTTATAAATTTTCTACAGAATATTAGATTTATTAAATGATCAGTATGCTACAGGGTACTATTAAAGATAGTATTGGGAGGGAGACATTTACTTGTAAAGTTTGTCTCACTTGTTTTAGACAATTTGAGTCTAAAAATATGTATATAGGTGATACAAATGAAAAGAAAGGTACTGGCTGTTTTATTAGTGAAAGTGTTTTTACTTTTAATATGAATATTTATTTTAATGAATATTATTCATTTAAATGCTGCTATTCTCCAACTTGCCCAACTAAAATAATTCTAATAGCCCAGCTAATAGAATTTCTAAGCAGTTGTATCATTCTACCTCTACCATATGAACATTAGCTCCACAGATAAGAATATAAATTATTTTCTTACTTAGGACATGGATGTAGTGTAAAATGGCAACTTCTGTAATGGACTATGTTTCACATCATTTGTGATTAGGAACTAGGTATTCTCCAGGCTGTGGTGAGCTATTTTATTGGTTGTTACAGCCAGTGCAATAGATCCTAACTTATCTTTCATCTGACCTTAAATATAAATGAAAAACAATAAATTTATTTCAAGGTTGCACTGAGAATAAGCGAGGCCAATTGAAATTGAGGCTTTAAGCCTCTTCCAAATTATATTCTGAGCCAAGCTACAGTAAGAAAAGAATTAGACTTAACTTTTCTGTTGTTAAATTATATTTTAATATTGGAAGCTGTGATTATATTCTTTTTCTTTGTTTGTTTGTTTGTTAGGGGAAAAAAGAAAAAGAACAGCATTCAGCATGAATAAAGGACTAACCATTATTAATGAATATCGATGAATGCTTTAATGTAGCAAATCGTAAGCATATGGAAATACTGGCACTGATTAATATTTCACATAAAGTTGAATTATTTCTTTATTGAAAAAAGTTTGTAAGCGTCTTTTCTTATGGGGGTAATATGAAAAACATAGGCATGTATCTTTTCCAAATACTCTTTTAAGGATCATGGGATTAGAGTAAAACTCTAAGATCTTAAGATTAAAAGCAGGAAATAATCAAACTTGGAATAAGGTATAACTCTCAATGAATATCAAGTAAATGACATAGATACATAGCTACGGAATTAACTTGAAGAGCAACACATTGAAAATGAGCCAAAGTCTCACACACACAGGAGTTGAGAAAGATTGCTGTGTAATATACTGTCGGGTCTGTTTATTAGACAAGGCTTGGATAGGAAACTTCTTTTGGTGCATTTGCTCCCAGTGAAATTTGAATCCGAAAAATCCATGACACAAGTGTTCCATTTCATTACTGTGTATTGATTACTCATGTGTATCCTTCTAAGAAACCAGAGAAACATGGCTGTTATAAATCCTCTTATTTCACACTGATACTCTAGTTTAAAAAGTGGAGTGGTAAAACACAAAAGACTGTTAAAAATCATCCTGAATTTTAATTTTCATAATCAGGAAGGTAAACTTAAGGAAGCCAAGCAAGAAAGGAGAATTATTTCTGTGCCAGCCATCTCTGGTTCTTACCTACCAGGCTCACAACCATTTGAATGGTAGTAACAATGGGTCCCGTAGAAAGAAAATATGTTTAGGACTTACATGAGGGTAAAACCATCTTGAAACAGGTCAACTTACCTACAGAAATGGAAAGCCTACAATAGCAAGAGTAGATGTCAAGATTTTTGTGTACTGCTATTTTTACTTCCACGTTTTTCTTATGTAAATTTTTTAGCCCTTTTCTCCCAAGGTAACAAGTCTCCCCTCTGATACTAGGCAAAATACTTTAAGTCACAAGTTATGAGATTGCATGCATCTTCAAAGCCAGCTTCCCTTGGAAATGGTAAATTGGAATACTGATTACTTGACCACTTTCTAGGAACTCTACTTCTTCCTTCTCTAATTGGAAGCTGTGTTGACTTCGGTTCAATAATTTAGCTTCCATAATTTTACTTTGGAAAATTGGGCTTATGTGACTGTCAATGGCTTTCCAAATTTACATGTATCATTTTATTAAGTACATCAAGCAATACAGTGTTAACGTAAAAATAAGTTTTGTCACTTTGGGAGGCCAAGGAGAGTGGATCAATTGAAGTCAGGAGTTCCAGACCAGCCTGACCAACATGGCAAAACCCCGTCTCTGTTAAAAATACAAAAGTTAGTCAGGTGTGGTGGTGGACACCTGTAGTCCCAGCTACTCAGGAGGCTGAGGCAGAAGAATCGCTTGAACCCTGGGAGGTGGAGGTTGCAGTGAGCCAAGATCGTGCCACCACACTCCAGCCTGGGCAACAGAGCTGGACTCCGTCTCAAAAATGAAATAAGTTTTGCAATGATGGTTTTACGTTCCTTGATCTAAAGCAGTTTCATACATTTTCCCAAAAATGTGAAATAAATTAAAAAGTTATGATTTTAAAACCATGTTTATGAAAACCACAGTTCATTTGTCTCATCTTTTTTTTGTTCCTTCCACTACCCTCTTTAGTTGCATCAGTTTGTCTCTAGAATAGTGGCTTTATCCTCCTTTCTGGCCTTTCTGCATCTGTTGTCTTCCACATTTGTTTTTTATACCACCCCTAGACTAACCTTCAGAAATTGTGTTTAATGCTTTTATGTGCAATACATTCCTTAGAAGAGACCATCTAAATTGGTTTTCCAGTAGTTCAAGGACTAGTAAAATCTGGCTACAGGTTTTCCTTTTCAAAATTTCTCCCAGTCTTCTGAGCCTCTAGCAAATGTCCGTTATGATCCTCAAATTGCACCTTTGCTTATATTATGAGCCTTGCCTGAGAAACACGCAATTTGATGGCACAGCAGCAAATAACAAGCTTGTATAACTTTTATACAAACTCTAAACACCAAATTTTGGTAATGACACTATCACTTGATTGGTATTTACTATCCACTGCAGCATATTTGAATTTAGATATGTGAATACCTAGTCACGTGATATACATATATAAAGGGTAAATAGTCACACACACACACGTAAATGATAAATACATACATATGTATGTATACACACATATATACACAAAATGAAAATCTATGGGGTTGTTGACCCCGCACTCCTTTTCCAGCAACTGTGGCCCCATCAGCACCATCACCATAGGAGTGAGCATTTTATTCAAAGTGACCCTTTCCACTGACAAGAGGTGGTTATCAGATGAGGAAAAGGTGAATTATTGTGCCTTGGGAATTTTAAAACTTGCAAGAGCATTGACTCAATCTCTTTCTAATGGTTGAATTTCTAAACTGGAAACTCAGAACATACCAGGCATATTTCATGCCCAGGAAGTGTATTATGCATTGACTCAATATCTCTTATCTCTTCCAATCTCCTTCTAGAGTGCCTTCTTGCACTGCTGAAGCTGAAGGGCTAAAACCACCTAAAACTACCTCTTCCAGACTTCCTTTCAGTGAGGGTTCTAGGTGAACTTTGGACTCTACCAATTAAGTGCACATGGATGAGACATGAATTCAAAACTGAATTTCCAGTGAAAAAGGCAGAGGTTTTACTAGTGTAGAGTGGGGCAGAGGCAGAAAGTTTAGCAATGAACAGCTGCAGTGGCGACTTCCAGTTTTGTTGGCAGTTTTCAGTTAGGTTAGAGGCAGCAGTGCTCTTGGCTATGCAGTACGGCAAAGAGCCTTTGGAAGCTGTTCCTGGAAATTCAGCCTAGGTTCTATTTTTTTAGCTTTCCCAATAATTCATAATCTATTTAATAAACGTAATAAATCTTTCGGTTGAAATAAGCTAGAGTGGATTCTTTTCCTACATTGTCTTTTGGACAAAGCTGGTCTGTAGTGAGAGAGAAAAGCTAGGGAACACCAGGGGTATCTGGTTTCCTGGCCCCACATGCACCTAGCACCAAGCAGCATCCTGGCATTTTCTCTTGGTCTGGTTGTGAAACATTTTTCTGGACTTTACCAGCCAATAAATTCTACTTGCTGCTCTTAAATTGGTTTGAATTTGTTTCCTCATCTTGTTCCCACAAGACTTGTACTGATATACTATGTTTCATCTACCCCATCTCACTCCCTGTCATAAGGAGAAATATGTGTACCTTAATGTCTATCCTTTGCATATCAAGCCTATTTCAAGACTAAAACTTACTGACTGAAGCAGTTTTTATTGTTGATGCCTCTATAAATACATAAACCAAAATATTTTATGAGTTTCTTTTCTCATATATATGAGAAAATATATAATTGTATACATATTATACATAATATATAATAAATATATATTATATATATTAATTCATCAATTATATATATAGATGAATTATCTGCAATTGGCTTCAATAGACATTTTAAATGAGAAATTCTCTGAAATGTTTTCAACTTTTTTGAAGAAATCCCAATCATTTTCTGATTCCATTTAGCCATACTCAAGGATAATCCTGATAATTACATTGATTATTTCGCAAGTGGAAATGTCAACAATGAAAGATTAAGCATATTTTGCAGAGGCCAGCAAAGAGTCCTTTCTTTGATGAAGAAAATTAGCCACCTCAAATTGATAATAGCAGTCAAACAGATCCAGACATAACTTTAATACCTTAGAGGCCTATTAAATATTTGAAGATAATTTAACTACTGATTCATCCACTAACCTTTTAAAAAGTCCCTCCTCCCATTTCCTTGGGGAAGGTGCAAAAATTTCTCCAAGGACAAATAACTGAAGGAAAGAAGTCACCTGCTGTAGGAAAACCATTTAACACATCCAGGAACCAGCTGCAATCTTGACCTCATTTAAATGAGCTTGGACTTGGCATGAGGTAAAAAACAGTTTGAACAAAAAATAAATAAATAATCTGCTAAAGATCACATGCCTTAACTCACAATCTAGCAATAAATCACTTCTATTGGAATGAGAAGGAGGAGGTTCAGCAGCACTACGTAAATCAAACTCCATTTTTTTGTGCTTATTTTTACTTCGGTCATAGGATTTAACCTTTAAATGCAACATAAATGGAAAGCATTTTTTCCAGTTTAAATCTGGACATGAAAAATTAAAGTGAATAAGAGATTGTTTATCTTCTCCAGCATGTGATGGTAGCATTTATAATTTCATATAACAATAGATATCTCTCGCTTGGTGAATCTCTGCCTGGAATAAATCAAATTTGTCATGTCCATTTTGCATTTTGTTTGTCTGTGCTGTTACTGATGTGCCAGGTTTAAAAATCTCAGTAACCCTGTATCTGAGCCGTGAATTCCTGAGAAAGACAGAGATATTACTTGATCTCTCCACATTCTCTTCTTCTCTTTATTTTCTATTTCTTTTTCTTCTTGTTGATTTTTTTAAACTGTGGAGAATTCATGATGTGAGTGACACCATCAAAAAGGTTTAGTGGTTTTGAGTTAGGATGTATCTTACATTAGAACAGAGGGAAGATTGTCTATCTGGGGCAATTTGATAAATGTTATAAAAGATTCCTTCCTTTCATAATCTATCTCTCTCCTAGGCCTCATAAATTTCTACCAATCATGATTTAATCTATGGTATTGTCTTCAAGTCTCTAGGAGTTCCCTTTTGAATAACAAATACTCCCAGGAGACAATTTTTTAAAATGAGAAAACAAACAAAATCCTAAGTCATTAATACATTTATGTGAGTTAATTAATTAGAGATGCAATAACATGTTTTCTTGCAAGTTTCTTAGAGGAATGAAACAAGTGATAACTAGGTTATGACAGGGAACAAAAAAGATGTTTAAAGCTGGAGTATGAGGCACTACTTTTTGGTGCTTACTAAAGGTCAGGCTCAGCATGTGGACCCTGGTGGCAGGCAGGAGGGAAGATTAAAAGGATAATAAAAAATAAGAGAGAGAGAAACACACACAGACAGAGACAGAGATAGAAAGGGAAAGATAGAGAGATGTCTCATTCAAACAATTTCCTGTTATTCCCACATATTTATTCTAAGTGCCTCTGGGAAAATTTTTAGTATTAATTACTAATTTACTAAATCCTAGTCTGACCACCTTTAAGCCTTTTTTTATCGGAATGTGGTAATGTCCCAGTGTGCATTTTTAATTCAAAGTTCAGTATTTTTAAGTGAAAAATATATGATGGGAATAAAGGTATAAAATAGCTTCTTTAATTGGGGTTAATATATACAATAAATTGTTGATAGCAATGAGATGAAAATTTTGTATATATATATACATACACACACGCACAGACCAGAGTGTTTTGGACTTAGGATCTTTTCAGATGTTTTAATATTTGCATATATATAATTAGATATCTTGGGAATGGAAAGCCAAGTCTAAATATGAAATGTTTTTGTTTTATGTATGCCTTTTACAGATTGCCTGAAGATAATTTCATGCAATATTTTTAACAATTTTGTGCATGAAACAAAGTGTTGGCAGCATTTTGACTGTGACCCATGTCTTTGTCCAGTTTGTGCTGCTGCATAGGAATACCTCAGGCTAGGTAACTTATGAAGAAATGAGATTTGTTTGGCTCATGGTTCTGCAGATTGTACAAGAAGCATGGCACCGGCATCTTCATCTGGTGAGGGTGTCAGTCAGCTTCCTCTCATGGTAGAAGGCAAAGGGGAGCCAGCAATGTGCAGAGGCCATGTGGCACAAAAAGAAGCAAGAGAAATGGGGGAGATGCTGGGCTCTTTTTAACAACCAGACCTAGAGAAAACTAAAAAGTGAGAACTCACCAACCTCCAAAGGATGGCATTAATTTTTTCATGAGGGTTCCAGACCTATGACCCCAATATTAGGCCCCACTTCCAATAATAGGGATCAATTTCAACTTGAAGTTCAGTGAGGACAAACACCCAAACCATAGCAGCCCATTACATGAAGTCAGGTATGGAATTTTCCACTTGAGGCCTCACATCAGTGCTCAAAAAGTTCAGGATCTTGGAGCATTTCAGAATTCAGTTTTTTAGATTAGGAATCCTCGACTTGTATATTTAAACAGCTATTTTAAGGAAAGACTATTAGCTTAGAAATATTATCCTGATCCCAAAACTGTAAACAGACCTTTGGTATTGCAAGATGAAAGTGAACCATGGAATTCCATTACTCAGATTCATAATGGCTTCTCTAAACATTTCTTGTTTTGGAGACAAAGGAAGATAGGACCATAGATTAAAAAGTATTCCAAAATGTTAAAAGATTTTTAACATGTATTAATAGGAAAAAAAACACATTTAAAATTATTTTTATAAGACTAGAAGTAAACATGCCTAAAAGTATTATTTATATATAAATACCACAACTTTTTATAGTGATAGTTTTAATAAGTATTTACAAGTGTTGTCAATAATTATTTGAAACCTACGAAGATTTAGCCAAAACCACAAAATAATTATTGAGTTACACCATACCAAAGAAGTATTGGTTAAAGCTTATTTATTTAAACATAAATACACTTCCCCTTTTCTATTGGACATTGGGATTGGAACTAGACCTTGTTAAGAAAAGTGAGAAACATAATGCTCCATAGCCAGTTAAGATTTTGCTTAAGGGTAGATCCCATTCCCATCAGTTCTGTAGATTATCTGTTATCACGAGAGGTATGAAATCCACAAGTACACCAGGGCACGAGGAATCAGAACTGTAAGTTTCTCAGCTACAGGAACTTTGCTCTTATGTGGTCTAGTCTCGTCTTTCCACATTCAGGAGACCACGTTTACACGGCTGCATTGGAACTGGCTATACTAGAGAATCCTCAGCTTGGTTCTCAGCTGTTGGTCCCCAGGCGACAAGGAGGAAGAAGAGTTCCGCAGGAGCTTTGTGAGAAATGTATTATCACATATCTTCTACTCCATTTAATTAATAATCTTCTGGCTCTTAAGATTATATTTGAAATGATAATGGTATTAAAATGGATAACAAAATTGTCACATTGTTATTTTATTTTTATTTTTATCAGTTTACTAAGTGTTGTTATATGTCTCTCATTTCTTTCATTAAGAAACAGCCCTGCACCTTATGTTGTATCAGTTAAGAAACTGTAGTTTGCAAGTAAAACAAAATTCAACTTAAACTAGTAGTGGCAGGGAAAATGTTGGTTCATCAAAGTGAAAAGCCTAATTTCTTTCAAGTGTGGCTTAATCCGGAGATTCAGATGACATTCAACACTCACTACTACTTTCCACTGGCTTCATTCTCAGACTCATCCTCCCATATCCTAGCTGATTTTGAATGAATAATTTGCTCCTCTTAATATTGTAGTTTGGTGCCTGAGATATACATCTATCCCCTGTGGCCAGGGGCATTTTGGTGTATTAATTGAGTCATATTTGGTAGTATATGAACCAAAATATTCTACCCTGAGGGTCAGTTTGAACCCCACTTAAACCACAGGGACAAGAGAAAGTCATAGCACCTAAAATTCTAGATGCTGATTCCAAAGAAGAAAGACCTGGTGGCCAAAATACTCTTTCCTGCAAAGAAGTATAAGCAGGTATTTGGTCCATTGTTTGAAAACAAAAGGTAAGGCATCTCCCCAAATTGGAAATAAGATTGCTTTTTAATAATAAAACAGGATACAATTTATTGAGTGTTTAAGTGATGTCAGAAACTGAGCTATGTGCTTTATTTGCATAATTTCTTTCAACTTTTATAACAGCTAATATGAAATAGTCATTGCTACTCTAACCATTTAATGGCAAGGAAACTGTGGCCTAGAATGTTGAACCAATTGCTTAAGGTCAAATAAATAAAAGAGCCAAGTACTGGAGAAGTGGAGCCAAGATTTGAACTCAAATAGTCAAATAGAGGAACATGTACTTAAAACACAACTCTTGTAAATTTGTTTCAGTTCTTTGTAGATTCTGGATATTAGCCCTTTGTCAATGTGGGCGAAGGATATGAACAGCTAAAAGAAGACATTTATGCAGCCAACAGACACATGAAAAAATGCTCATCATCACTGGCCGTCAGAGAAATGCAAATCAAAACCACAATGAGATACCATCTCACACCAGTTAGAATGGCGATCATTAAAAAGTCAGGAAACAACAGGTGCTGGAGAGGATGTGGAGAAACAGGAACACTTTTACACTGTTGGTGGGACTGTAAACTGTTCAACCATTGTGGAAGACAGTGTGGCGATTCCTCAAGGATCTAGAACTAGAAATACCATTTGATCCAGCCATCCCATTACTGGGTATATACCCAAAGGATTATAAAACATGTTGCTATAAAGACACATGCACACGTATGTTTATTGTGGCACTATTCACAATAGCAAAGACTTGGAACCAACACAAATGTCCATCAATGATAGACTGGATTAACAAAATGTGGCACATATACACCATGGAATACTATGCAGCCATAAAAAATGATGAGTTCATGTCCTCTGTGGGGACATGGATGAAGCTGGAAACTATCATTCTCAGCAAACTATCGCAAGGACAAAAAAACCAAACACCGCATGTTATCACTTATAGGTGGGAATTGAACAATGAGAACACTTGGACACAGGAAGAGGAACATTACACACCGGGGCCTGTTGTGGGGTGGGGGAATGGGGGAGGGATAGCATTAGGAGATATACCTAATGTAAATGACGAGTTAATGGGTGCAGCACACCAACATGGCAAATGTATACATATGTAACAAACCCGCACGTTGTGCATATGTACCCTAGAACTTAAAGTATAATAATATATATATGTATTAAAAAAAAACACAATTCTATCAGCACAGAGTCTTCCAGAGCCTATGTACACAAAAGCTCCTTTAGTAAGCCGGGCTCTTCTTCCTTGTTGAAGATATGGTCATCAACCTAAAGAAAATAGATATTACATAAAAGAAGTCTTGGAGAGTATGCCAGTGTGGAATAAGATTACTGCAGAGCAAACACATACATGGCCATTCATTAATGGAGTCCGCCCTCTTAGCTAATTGGCCTTGAGAACCCAGTCCCATGGAAAGACCATCTCTAATGTGAAGTGGATGAGTTAGAGTATTCTTTCCTGACACTGTTAACTTTTCAATTCGTTGAACTCTCTTTGTTCTGGTTAAGCTGATATCCTCTAAAGAAACTTCTGATAATGATTTAATTTTCTATAGGTTCACTAATGATTTAGTAAAAACTAATGATTTGGTTTCCTATAAGGAGAAAATAAGCTAGCATAGGACTTTGAATGTTCCAATCTCTAAATGGTTATTTCCTTCTCTGTATGACTTAAAGGGTTATCTGCATTGGTACCTCACTCTCAATGAAGCCATTGTTCACATCTTCACTTTTCTGTGCCTGTAAGGCAAGTTCCTAAGCTGGGCATATTTGCCCAAGGAATCTTCGGAAGCTGCCTGCTGGCCATTTTCTTCTGAACCAACCTCTCTGCATTGCTATGTATATTTTTGTAATGCTATTACTACATGCAATATTATTTAATTTTAATGGATCTGGAAAATAAAGCTTAGGGAGATAAATAGACTCAACTTATTTAAACGGCTAATAAGGTACAGAGATGGAGTGAAAGCTCCAGTTTCGGACTCTAATTTGTTGGAATTTCTACTATACCATAATGCCTGTGATATATCTTTTCTCTTTCATACATTTTCAATGCTTAAAAGTATAATTTCTAGAAAATGTAACAGTATATCCACTAAAATTCATGATGATTAGTCTAAATATTCAATCTGAAAATACAGCCTTTCTTAGAAGACTGCCATAACCATTTTTAAAAAGCATTAACAGCTTTTACTTTACAGAGCAGTTTTAGGTTTACAGAAAAATTCAGTAGAAAGTACAGAGAGTTCCCACATGTGTCCTCTCTCTCACCATCCCCTACCCTCTGCACTCACCCATTTTCCCCTATTATTATACTTTATTTGTGTGCTACATTTGTTACAATTGGTGAACCAAAAATTATGTATTATTGTTAACTAAAGTCCATAGTTTACACTAGTTTTAATTCTTGGTGTTGCACATTCTGTGGATTTTGTCAAATGCATAATGTCATGTATGTACAATTACGGTATTATGCAAAATAGTTTCATTTACCTAAAAATCCTCTGGGTTCCCCCCATTCATTCTTCTCCCCTTCCACCTGAACCCTAATGACCATGGATCTTTTTACTGTCTTTATAGTTCTGCCTTTGTTAGAATGCCTTTGTTAGAATGCCTTATAGTCAGAATCATATAGTATGTAGCCCTTTCAGACTGGCCCTTTTCACCTAGCAATATGCATTTAAGGCTGTTCCATGTCTTTTTGTGGCTTTATCAAGAAATCATGGCTGATTTATTTTTCATTTTTTTCTTAATTCTTAATTTAATTGACAACAATTAAACAATTGTTTAACAATTACAGAGATAATTGTTATCTCTATATCATGTCATATCATGGACAGCATGACATTTTGAAATATGCATACATTACGGAACAGTTAAATTGAGCTAATCAACATATGCATCACTTCATATATTTATCATTTTTTGTGATGAAAACTTAAAATTTATTCTCTTAGCAATTTGCAAGAATACAATACATTGTTATTAACTATAGTCACCAGGTTATGCAATAGATCTCTTTAACTTATTCCTCCTAACTGAAATTTTGTATCCTTTGACTAACATTTATCCAGTAGTCCTGCCTCCTCTCCCCCAGCACCTGGTAACCACCATTCTACTCTCTGATTCTATGAGTTCAACTTTATGTTAGATTCCACATATGAGTGACAGCATGCAGTATTTGTCTTTCTGTGCCTATCATTGAATCGTGTTCAATTGTATGGATATACCAGTGTTTATCTATTACATATTGAAGGACATCGTGGTTGCTTCCAATTTGGGGAAATTATGAATAACGGTGTTATAATCCTTTATGTACAAGTTTTTACATGACATAAGTTTTCAACACAGTCTTATCTTATAATACAAAAATCATGCTCCTAGGTGTGGGTAAATACCTAGGAGCATAATTTTTGTATTGTAAGACTGTGTTTACCTTTGGAAGAAACTGCAAAACCATCTTCCAAAGTGGCTATATCATGTTTCATTCTCACCAGTAATAAATGAGAGTTCCTGTTGCTCCACATACTTGTCAGCATTTGGTGTTGTCAGTTTTGGGTTTTAGCTGATCTAATAGGTGTGTGGGGTATCTCATTGTGGCTTTAATTGGTAGTTGTCTAATAACATATAATATTGATCATCCTTTCATATGGTTGTTTGCCATCTCCATAGCTCTTTCAGGGAGGTCTCCTTGGAGATCTTTTGCTCACTTTTAATTGGTTTGTTTGCTTTCTATTTGTTGTTGTTGTTGTTGTTGTTGTTACTTTTCAGACAGAGAGTTGCTTTGTCACCCAGGCTGGAGTGCAGTGGCACAATCTCAGTGCACTGCAAACTCCACCTCCTGGGTTCAAACAATTCTTTTGCCTTAGTCTCCTGAAGAGTTGGGACTACAAGCATGCACCGCCATGCCCAGATAATTTTATTTTTAATTTTTTTTCAGCAGAGTCAGGGTTTTGCCATGTTGGCTAGGCTGGTTGTTTGCTTTCTTTTTATTGAGTTTTAAGAATTCTTTGTATATTTTGGATACAAGTTCTTTACCAGATATGCTTTTTGGAAACATTTTCTCCCAGTCTGTGGCTTGTCTTTACATTTTCTTAAATGTGTATTTCACAGAGCAGATTTATATTTTAGTGAAGTCCAACTCATAATTCTTTTCCTTCATTGATTGTGCTTCGAAAATGCTTTACCAACCTAGGGTGACCTAGATTTTCTCCTATGCTATCTTCTAGGAGTTTTATACTTTTGTGTTTTACATTTAGGTCTATGACCCTTCTGGAGTTAGTTTTTATGAAAGATGTAAAAATCAACATCTAAATTCATTTTTGTAATGTGTTGATGTCCATTTTTTGTAGCACCTTTTGTTGAAAGAATATCCTTTCTCAATAGAGTTGTCTTTGCTTCTTTGTCAAAGATGAGTTGACTAGAAATGATTGCTTTTTTGACAAGAAACAGTCCAGGTTTTTTGTCATGTCACTGTGTGAATAATTATCCGTCTGAATGTACTATGTATTGTGATATTATCACTGAGAACACTTATTTGAAGTTAATGCAAACTACCAAAATAATTTAAATTTTAAAACATGCTTCAGTAGAACAATGACTCTGACACAATCATACTGGTCAATTCTAATTAAAATGAGCAATATCTTGCCCTTGTCCATGTACAGATAGCATGCCCTATCCGCTTATTACTTCTTCACTGTTCCACATTTGTGTATAAGATACATAGTAGCAGAATAGATTTTGACTGTGGATATTATTCACATGATGCCAGTTTGACTATTCACAATACTAATAAACACTTAGAAGCCTGGTTAATAACATCAAAGGTATTTCCTTGGACAATCAGAATGTCACAAGGTTTTGTGGGTAGAATATGAGAGAAGAGAGCTACAGCAAGTAATCAAACCAGGGCTTTGTTAGTGTTTCTTCTCCTTCTCCCTTTCTTTTCCTGAGTCATTTTATTTCATTTGCATAACTAGTTCACAATAAAATAAATCCTGAGTCCTCAAGACATTAGCATTGCAGCATTGATCAAGCTGTGTAAATCAGCATCCAGTAATTAAAATACAGATAGATAGATAGAAGTAGATGTTATAAATTACAGGAGATATGAGTTGCCCCATGCTGTTGGGGTTCATGTCTAATATCCTTCCTTTCCTTTTGAAAAACAGTCTTGCCTTTCTATGAAATTTTCACTCTAATAAAATTGAAATCCCTGCCCCCATTATAATCCTTTGCTTGCGTTATTTTCTTTTTTGCAACAATCCTTCTAACAATGATTTGTCCTCAAAACTGGGTATATAATTAGCTTGGTCCAGTGCAAAAGAAAATGCAAGCCTCCTTGTACAAGTATTATTAAGAATTTCAAGATGGCAATAATAAAGCATTAATCCAAGCATTGGGCCTAAGTATCAGGCATTGTACAACTGCATGATCCCTATCTGTCCTAAACAAAGTTTAGATTGTATCATTCGTATTTTTTCTACCTCAGTCAACATTAGTATCTCATTTCTCTGAAGCTTCCTGGCATTTTATTACAGTAGATTTCTTGCTTTCATAAGTTCTTCTACCTCTATCTCCCCCTGCACCCCCTAAAACACGATTTTGTCAACAGTCAAAATGGGGAATTTTAGGAGTTTGTGATTTTCCTATTAAAAATGGATGCTTTGTAACCCTTTAAATGGTCAGATTTTACCGCCTGGGTGACTATGGTATCATTATTACCCTATTTACAAAAAGAGCAGTGCTTCAGTCAAGTACAGGTCTGATTTTTAAAGTCTACGTGTCTGTTGTTTCAAGTCGTTTTAGCTAAAGCAGACCCCCAGCAGAGGGCAGTCACTTTACGGAGAGCAGCCAGACTGTTTTCCACAAGAATCTCCAATCCTGCTACTCCTCACTGGGCAGGGCCTCTTGACCTGGGACTCCAGTCACCACTGACCTGGGCTCTTGGGCCAGTAGCAGCTCTGCACTTTTGTGGGACAGAGCTCCCAGAGGGAGCAGGCAGGACACCATTTTGCTACTCTGCATCCCTCGCTCCTGTTGCCCTTAGGCTCCAGAGGGCATGTAGTGATGAGGGACTAATGCAGACCCCCAACACAGTGCAACTGCCTTATGGAAAAGTGGCCAGACTGTTTAGACTGTTTTCCATGTGAGTGTTCAGCCTCAGCACCTCTGGCTGAACATTCCCCATAGCAGTTTCTCTGAGGTGCAGCTCCCTGGGGCAACTGAAAGCCCCTGTGCCCCTGCTGCTGCAGTGGTACTGCCCTTATTGCCCTTGGACTGGGGAAGGAATGAAGACTCTGAGTACTTTAATCACACCTCCAGCACACCACAGCTGCCCTAAGGAGGAGAGGCAAGTTTGTCTGCCTAACAAGCCTCCTGCCCTCCCTGCTTGTCACTAGGCGGGGACCTAGGCTTGGGCCCACAATGTAACCACCCCACACTGGGCCAACTGCACTGATTGGTAGCAGCTCTGCATTTCTATGGGGTGGATCCCCAAGAGACAAGTGAAAGGCGTCTGCCACAGCAACTGTCAAATTCCCTTCCCCTGCTCCCTCCATCTGGGAAGGAACATAAAGCCTGAGCTCACCCTATAACTGTGGTGTCTAACTCCAGAATGTCAAGCTGAGACCTGCAGCCAGCACTTGAGTGGGAAAGGAGCTCACCCTTTCAGAGCACTGAGAGGGAACATGGCTGCAATCCTGAGGAAATATAGAGGGGCCACCTGGCTGAGCAAGAGAGTACCTACTACCATTTTACTTAAGCATCAAATACTAGATCACAGCCCAGACGTCAACACCAAAAATACTTTGTTGATATACCCCCCCGTAAAACTAAGGACAAGAATTCAGCTACAAAGATAGACCCTGGACAAAGCCTTGGCCCACTGAAAACATCCAGAAAACTAGTCTACCAACTGTACTCAAATCACACCACAGTTAGAGGATCATCAGTCTACACAGATGAGAAAGAACCAGCCCAAGAAACTCTGACAATTCAAAAAGCCAAAGTGTCCTCTTTCATCCAAATGACCTCACCAGTTCCCCAGCAAGGGTTCTTAACCAAGCTTAAATGGCTGAAATGACATAAATTGGATTCAAAATATAAATAAGAACAAAGATCATCAGGATTCAGGGGAATGTTGAAACTCAATCGAAGGAATCTAAGGATTACAATAAAATGATAGAGAAGCTTATAGACTAAATGGCCATTATCAGAAAGAACAAAACGACCTAGTAAAACTGAGAAACACAGTATAAGAATTTCGTAATGCAATCACAAATATTAACAGTAGAACAGATCAAGCTGAGCAAAGAATCTCAGAGCTTGAAATTGGTTCTCCAAACTAACTCAGACAAAAATAATAAAAATAGTAAAAAAGAAAGAACAAAGTCTCTGAGAAATATGGAATTATGTCAGCAGACCAAATCTATGGCTCACTGGCATCCCTGAAAGAGATAGGAACAAAACATGGGAAACATATTTCAGGATATTGTCCATGAAAATTTCCACAAAATCGCTTGAGAAGCCTATATTTTAACTCAGGAAAGGCAGATAACTCCTGTGACATACTATGCAAGAATACCATTCCCAAGACATGTAGTCATCAGATTCTCCAAGGTCTAAATTAAAGAAAAATCACAAAGGCAGTTAGAGAGAAGGGGAAAGCCACCTACAAAGGGAACCCCATCAAGCTAACAGCAGACAGTTCACCAGAAACCCTAACAAGCCAGAAGAGAATGGGGACCTATATTCAACATTCTTAAAGAAAATAATTTCCAAGCAAGAATTTTATGTTCAGCCAACTAAGCTTCATAAGTGAAGGAGAAATAAGATCATTTTCAGACAAGAAAATGCTAAAGGATTTTGTTACCACCAGACTTACCTTATAAGAAGTCCTGAAGGGAGTGCTAAACATGGAAAGGAAAGACTGTTACTGGCCACTACAAAAACACACTTAACTACATCGACCAGCGACACTATAAAGCAACCATATAAACAAGCCTGCATGATAACCAGCTAACAACATGATGACAGAAACAAATCCATACATATCAATACTAAATTTGAATGTAAATGGGTTAAATGGCCCAATTAAAAGGCACAGAGTGGTAGGCTGGACAAAGGATCAAGACCCAGTGGTTTGCTGTCTTCAAGAGACTAAGACCTATCCCACATGCAATGACACCCATAAGCTCAAAGAAAAGGAATAGAGAAAAATCTCCAAAGCAAATGGAAAACAGAAATAAGCAGGTGTTACTATTCTAATTTCAGACAAAGCAGAGTTTAAACCAGCAAAGATTAGAGAAGAAAAAGAAAGGCGTTGCATAATGGTAAAGGGCTCAATCCAACAAGAAGACCTAAATATCCTAAATATATATATACACCCAACAGAGGAGCACCAATATTTATAAAACAAGTTCTTAGAGACCTGTGAAGAGAATTAGATAAATACAAAATACTTGTAGGAGATTTAAATACCCTAATGGTAGTATTAGACAGATCATTAAAGCAGAAAACTAATGAAGATATTCAGGAACCGAATTCACCACTTGACCAAATGGACCTAATGGAGATCTATAGAATATTCCACCCAAAAAGAATAGAATATACATTCTTCTCATCTATATACAGCAGAAACTCTAAAATCAACCACACAATTGGACACAAAATAATTCTCAGCAAATTTAAAGAAAATCAAAATCATACTAACTACGCTCTTGGACCATAGCACAGCAAAAATAGAAGTCAGTATTAATAAAATTGCTCAAAACCATATAATTACATGGAAATTAAACAACCTGCTCCTGAATGACTATTGGGTAAATAATGAAATTAAGAAAGAAATCAAGAAATACATTGAATATAATATGGACAAAGATACAACACACCAGAATCTTGGAAACACCTAATGCAGGGTTAAGAGGGAAGTTTACAGCACTAAATGCCCACATCAAAAATTTTAAAAAGATCTTAAATTAACAACCCAACATTGCAACTAGAGGAACTAGAAAAACAAAAGCAAACCAACCCCAAAGCTAGCATAAGACAAGAAATAACTAAAACCAAACCTGAATTGAACTCAATTGAGATGCAAAAAATTATACAAAAGATTAACAAATACAGCAGCTGGTTTATTGAAATAAATAATAAGATATATAGAGTGCAAGTTAGATGAATAAAGAAAAAAGAGAAGATTCAAATAAACACAATCAGACATATCAAAAGAGACATTACCACTGACCTGACAGAAACACAAAAAGACCCTCAGAGAGGACTTTGAGCCCCATTGCTCAGGCCCGCTCCCAGACTGTGGAGTATACTTTCACATTCAATAAAACCCTTCATTCCTTCCTTGCTTTGTTTGTGCATTTTGTCCAATTCTTTGTTCAAGATGTCAAGAACTTGGACACCTTCCACTGTTAACATATTTTGGTGAGCCAGCCAGGAGGAAGAGTAATGCAGGTTCACTAGGGCCACTCACTCAGGGAGAGAGAACCCAGAAGCCTGGCATGCTGGCAAAAGGGTAAAGAAAGCTATTTATGATTTGAATCTTCTGGAAACATCAGAGAAAGACTGTTCTTGGCATCCACACTACAACAAAACTTTGGGACCTTGAACTTTGGGTTCATGGTCTCGCAACTGAGAAGGGTCCCTCCATACTTTGGAACTGTACACCCATTGGAACCCCTGAGAGACAATCAAGCTTCAGATGATCATGCAACAAAGGCTCCAGCCAGTTCCAGGTGGACACCAACCCTGGCCATCAAGAAACTACCCTGCCTCCACTAGATAGAGCAGGGCTAGAGTTCTGTGGTCCCCAGTAGGTAGAGACTATGCCCCAAGTCAGCATGAAGCAGTTGCAGAAAAAAAGACCATTGGTCCCTTTGCCTCCCATACGATTTATGAGGATCACATCTCTAAGTGGGGAGATGAGGCAGGAAAGTAGAGTCTGGAAGCAGGGAATATAAGGCCAATTCACATTTCAGCTATAACAGGAAATATCCTCTCCATAGGGCAGACACTGAGTAAATGACTTTGTAACTTTACTTCATTCTCTTCATCTACATAGGGCATACCCCAAGTAGAGGGTATTTAAACTCACAAAAAACTCTGTAACAGGGCCTTTGACCCTCTATGTTCGGGCCCACACTGTGAAGTATATTTTCATTTTCAATAAAACCCTTCATTCCTTAAACAAACAAACAAAAAAACCCTAAGAGACCATTAGAAAAATCTCTATGCACACAATCTAGAAAACCTACAATAAATGGGTAAATTACTGGACACATACAGTCTCCTAAAACTGAAGCAGGAAGAAATCGAATCCTTGAACAGATTGATAATGAGTTCCAAAATTGAATCAGTAACAAAAAGTCTGCCAACCAAAAAAAGCCCAGGACCAGACAGATTGACAGTAAATTCTACCAGATGTATAAAGAAAAGCTGGTACAATTCTTAGTGAAACTATTCCTGAAAATGGAGGTGCAAGGGCTACTCTCTAACTCATTCTATGAGGTCAACATCATCCTGATACCAAAGCTTGGGAGACACACACACACACACACACACACAAACTTCAGGCCAATATCCTTGATGAACATAGATGTAAAAATCCTCAACAAAATAATAGCCAACTGAATCCAGCAGCACATGAAAAAGCTAATCCACCATGATCAAGTAAGCATTATCCCTAGGATACAAGGTTGGTTCAACCTACATAAATCAGTACATGTGATTCATCACATAAACAGAACTAAAAACACAACCACATGATTATCTCAATAGATGCAGAAAAAAGCTTTCGATAAAATCCAACATCGCTTTATCTTAAGAAAACCCCAACAAACTAGGCATTGAATGAACATACTTCAAAATAATAAAAGCTATCCATATCAAACCCACAGCCAGCATCACACTGAATGGGCAGAAGCTGGAAGCATTCTTTTTGAGAACCAGAACAAGACAAGAATGCCCCCTCAAACCACTCTTATTCAACACAGTACTAGAATCCCTCACCAGAGCAATCAGGCAGGAGAAAAAAAAAGGCATCCATATACGAAGAAAGGAAGTCAAACTATCCCTATTTGCAGATTATATGATTCTATACCTAGAAAACCCCGCAGTCTCTGCCCCAAAGCCTCTTGATCTGATAAACAGCTTTAGCAAAGTCTCAGGGTACAAAATCAACATACAAAAGTCAGTAACATTCCTATACACCAACAACATCCAAGCTGAGAGCCAAGTCAGGAATGTAATCCCATTCACA
This sequence comes from Homo sapiens, assembly GCF_000001405.40. NCBI lineage: Eukaryota > Metazoa > Chordata > Mammalia > Primates > Hominidae > Homo > Homo sapiens. The sequence goes on along the minus strand of NC_000005.10, from coordinate 164,417,199 downwards.
ATAGCCACAAAAATAATAAAATATCTAGGAATACAGCTAATCAGGGAGGCAAAATATCTCTACAATGCGAATTACATAACACTACTCAAAGAAGTGAGAGATGACACAAACAAATGTAAAAATATTTCATGCTCATAGATAAGAAGAATCAATATTTTTAAAACGGCCATACTGCCCAAAGCAATTTACAGATTCAGTGCTATTCCTACCAAACTCCTAATGACATTCTTCACAGAGTTAGAAGAAAACTACTGAAAAATTCATATGGAATCAAAAACAAAGAGCTTTAATAGCTAAAGCAATCCTAAGCAAAAAGGAAAAAGCTAGCCAGCATCATGTTACCTGACTTCAAATTGCACAAGGCCACACTCACCAAAACAGCATGGTACTGGTAGAAAGACAGACATGTAGCTCAATGGAGCAGAATATAGAGCCAAGAAATAATGCTTCACACCTACAACAATCTGAAATCTGACAAAGTTGACCAAAACAAGCAATGGGGAATGGACTCCCTGTTCAATAAATGGTGCTGGGATAACTGGTTAGTAATATGAAGAAGATTAAAACTAGACCCCTTCCTTACACCATATATAAAAATAAACTCAAGATGGATTGAAAACTTCAGTAGAAAACCTAAAACTATAAAAACCCTGGAGGATAATCTAGGAAATACTGTTCTGAACATAAGACCTGGCAAAGATTTCATGACGACGATACCAAAAGCAATGGCAACAAAAACAAAAATTGACAAATGGGACCTAATTAAACTAAAGAGCTTCTGCACAGCAAAAGAAACTATCAACAGAGCAAACAGATAACCTATGGAATGGGTGACAGTATTTGCAAACTATGCATCTGACAAAGGTGTATTATCCAGAATCTATAAGGAACTTAAACAAATCTACAAACAAAAAACAAATATGAAACGGTGGGCAAAGGACATAAGCAGACACTTTTCAAAAGAAGACATACGCCCAGCCAAGAAGCATATGAAAAAATGCTCAACATCACTAATTATTAGAGAAATGCAAACCAAAACCACAATAAGATACCACATTACACTACTCAGAATGGCTATTATTAAGAAGTCAAAAAATTATAGATGCTGGTGAAGTTACGAAGAAACTGATGGTGGGAATGTAAATTAGTTCAGCCACTGTTAAAAACACTTTGGGGATTTCTCAAAGAACTCAAAGCAGAATCACCATTTGACCCAGCAATCCCATTAATGGACATATAACCAAAAGAATAGAAATTGTTCTCTATAAAGACACATGCATGTGTATGTTCACTGCAGCACTAGTCACAATAGCAAAGATGTGGAATCAATCTAAATTCCCATGAACAGTAGACTGAATAAAGAAAATGTGGTACATATATACCATGAAATACTATGCAGCCGTAAATATGAACAAAATTGTCTCTTTTGCAGCAACATGGATGGAGTTGGAATTCATTACCTTAAGTGAACTAACACAGGGACAGAAAAACAAATACCACATCTTCTCACTTACAAGTGAGAGCTAAATATTGAGTACATATGGACACAATGAAGGTAACAAGAGATACCAGGGCATACTTGAGAGGGGAGGGTGGGAGGAGGGTGAGGATCAAAAAACTACCTATCAGATACTATGTTTATTAGCTGGGTGGTAAAATAATCTGTACACCAAACCACCATTACATGCAATTTACCTATATAACAAACCTGCATATGTACCCTTGAATCTAAAATAAAAATTAAAAAAATTTTAAATGAATAAAATATAAACATGAATCAATTTAATAAGATATATTACACAAAAATTATAAAATAAAAAACTATATTTTAAAGTAAATAAAATTAATAAAAAATCATTTTAGAATATGGAACCAATTTTATTTTCCACAGAGATTTATATGGATTTTTCTTAAAGATGCTTTTTATACTCAAAATGAACTGTGTACAGATTTACCCTTATTTTCTAACAACTTTTTTATTTATGAAATCATCATTTTCCTTCTGTGTTATCTAGCTACCAATATCTCATATTGAAAGCTACCCCTCCAATAGCATCCCATTGCTATCCTTAAAATATCTGGTTTATGTAATTTTTATTTATAAAAATTGGTCTTGAAAGTACTAAATAAATATCAAAGTGGGCACTTAAATAACTTACACATGTGTGGATGGCATAGAAAGGGACTCATAGGTATAATGGCATATAAAATGCCAATATTTATTCTTTCACTTCTTCAACAAATCTTTGTTGTGCACTTTCTAGCTGCAAAGTCACCTTGCAATCCAGTAACAAAGAAGATAAGTATGGTTCCTTTCCTCAGGGAGCTTATATTTCAGAACAAGCAAAACATATAGTGCTTCAAGAAAGATAAGTAAATTATGTAAGGGAAAATTCTGAGGAAAAAGAGAGCAAATGACAGGGCCACATGCTTGTCTGGGAGTCTAGAGAAAGTTTTGCTGTGCAAATAAATGTTACAGATGGTGAAGAGCCAGCTAGAAAAAAATGAGAGTGAAGGAAATCAGTTCTGAATTGAGGCTCTGGAGTGAATTCCAGGAGTACAGACCTTTCGACTTGTCAACAGCCACCATCCTCCCATCAGGTCACATGCTTGATACAGCATGGGTACTCAGTAATAAGCTGACTGACCAGAAGGAACAGAAACAGCATTACCTATGGTTTGCTGAAAGTTCAAACACTTTTTGATCCGAAATTATTTGTAAAAGTGCTAAGACAATCATCTTAATGGTAACAATAACATTTTATTAATAGTTTCACAATTATTTATCTGGTAATGTTCAAAATTCTCTTGTTTTTGGAAGCCTTTCTTTTCCTTGCAGAAGCAGAAAATAATTTAGCCTAAAGTGCTAAAGTGATCTCTTTCCCTTAATGTATTCATAGAAAGTATAATGATTATCTATACAATTTATTTGCTAGTTATTCATGTACTATTTTGTAAACTGTTCCCACTGAAATATTTAGGGGTTGTTTACAGTTGTAATTCTTTAAATTTATACTTTTTAATATTTTTACCAATATAAGTTATAATTTTCTGTTTGGTTTTTTGTTGTTGCTTTTTTGTTTTTTGAGACGGAGTCTGGCTCTGTTGCCCAGGCTGGAGTGCAGTGGCGCGATCTCGGCTCCCTGCAAGCTCCACCTCCCGGGTCCACGCCATTCTCCTGCCTCAGCCTCCAGAGTAGCTGGGGCTACAGGCGCCCACAACCCCGCCTGGCTAATTTTTGTATTTTTAGTAGAGACGAGGTTTCACTGTGTTAGCCAGGATGGTCTGGATCTCCTGACCTCGTGATCCGCGCGCCTCGGCCTCCCAAGGTGCTGGGATTACAGGCGTGAGCCACCACGACTGGCCCCTGTAAATTATAATTTTCTCGAAGAAGGGATTATTATTGTTGTTTGGAACTTTCTAAGACGTGGCTATATAGCAAATACTAGACTTTAACTGAAGGGGAGAGAAAAACGAATATTATATTACATTTCTATAAAGAAGCATTTTGCATAGGTTCAAGGGGGATTTATTACTGACATACAATGAGGATGATTTCCTGTTGCAATCAACTTCTGGTTGCCTTCTCTAAATTCAAGGATTATTTAATTTGCTTTCCAGTCTGACAAAATCATCAGATTTTATAGCTTTCCCCTCTATCAAACTGTTGCCTTCCAAGGCCATTAAATTTAAAATTTAGTAATAAATAAGTAAATATCACAACTTAACATAAAATGCTAAATTACTGTCCTCATCTTCCTAAACTTATTACCAGCCTTGGTCATGTATTTCTCTTCTATACAGATTCTTTACTTGCCTTCAGGATGCCTTATTCTCTTGATTTCCTTCTACCTTACTGGTGGTGTACTGGAGTTTCTTTTCTCTCTAACCTTTAATATCAAAAGATTCAGGGCTCAATCCTTGGTTTTCTTCTCATCTCTACCCACACTCACTTTGTGACCTCATTAGTCTCATGGTACTCACTCACATCTCTATGCAATGAATCCTAGCTTTCCATCTCTAGTACAGACTTCTCTACCACATCTAGACTCATATCCTGATACCTCTCTTTTTCTTTATTTGGATATTTAATAGACAGCATTAACTCAACAATGTCCAAACCTGAACTCTTGATCCCTTGATCTGATAATCTGAAAGCTGCCTTAACCACACCTTTCCTCATCCCACTTAAAGGTAGCTTAATCTTTCCAGTTGCGGAATACAAAGACGTTGATTATACTCGATTTATCTATTTTCTCAAACATCACATTCAATCTGTTAGAAAACCCAGTTGGCTCTAATTTGAAAATACATCCTGAAACCCAATAAAAAAAGGAGCACAAAAGAACAGACAGTTCACAGAAGCAGAACAGCTAATGGCCCTTCAGTGTATGAAAAGATGTTCAATTTCATTCATAATAAGATAAATGAGAATTAAAGCTACACTGAGATACTATTTCTCATATATAATCTTGGCAAAAGTTCAAAAGCTTGACAGCACAATCTGTTGGCAAGACTGAGAAAAAATCAGCATGCTCATATATTTGACATTGGGAGTGCAAAATGGTACAGCCTATGTGGAGAGGAATTTTGAAATACTGAACAGAATTACAGATGTGTTTCCTTTTGGCCCGACAGTTCTACTTCCAGGAATCTCCTCTGAATATCCATCTATCTATCTATCTATCTATCTATCTATCTATCTATCTATCTATCTATCTATCTACACAAACACATACATTACACATATATACATATATATGTACACACACACACATACATATATATACACACACATATGTGTGTGTGTGTTTATTCACTATATAATTATAAAAAAGAATTAGGAGAATATTCATGGATATTATGCTTGGGAGTGTGTGCGTGGCGGTGTGTGATTTAAATAAAATTAGAGAACAGTGTATACACTATGCTATTTTTGTTTAAGGAAGAAAAATAAGATACAAAAAGAAACAATGAATGTGGCTGCATAGCTCAGCAAAATATGACCCACAGGCCAAAAACAATCACGTTTTTACATATAGCTTTATTGGGCCACAGCCATACCCATTTAGGTATATATTGCCTGTGGTTGCTTTCTCACAATTCTACAACAGCGGAATTGGGTAGTGCCATGGGGACCACTATATGGCCTGTAAAGTCTAAAGTATTTATTCATTGGCCTTTTACAAATTTGTCACCCCCTTATCTACAGGGGTGAAAGAGTATAAGGTAGAGAGCATATGGATGGAGTAAGATTTTGGTAAGTATACTTATTAGTAACTTTTTGACTTTTGAACCATGAGAATGTTTTATAAATTCAAAAATAAATAAAACAGACCTCACAATTGAAAACAAATGGAAACAAAGTCATCTACCTGTATATCAAATGGTTAAAATTCCACTCAGAATAAAAACAATATTTCAAATGGCCTCTGACTGTACATCGTTCTAGCATCTGTAACAGCTGGATAACAAAGTATTATGTGCCTCTTCATATGTTGTATTATCCAGTTCATAGCTGTAGCTGTATCAATGAAATCTTGTCAACAGTATTTAAATTGCCTTTAGTCAAGCCATTACACCTAACTATCAATTTCTAGAAAATACTAAGAAAGTTAAATAATACCACAATTAACAATCAGACAAGTCTAATGCGGGTAACTTTCTTTCTTTCTTCTTTTCTTTCTTTCTTTTTTTTTTTTTTTTTAACAGAGTCTCGCTCTGTTGCCCAGGCTGGATTGCAGTGGCACAATCTCAGCTCACTGCAACCTCCGCCTCCTGGGTTCATGCCATTCTCCTTCCTCAGCCTCCCAAGTAGCTAGGACTACAGGTGCCTACCACCATGCCCAGCTAATTTTTGTATTTTTAGTAGAGACGGGGTGTCACAGTGTTAGCCAGGATGATCTCAATCTCCTGACCTCGTGATCCGCTCGCCTCAACCTCCCAAGGTGCTGGGATTACAGGCATGAGCCACCACACCCAGCCTAATGTGGGTAACTTTCTACAAGACAAAATTTCTGAACTCTTCGAGGGAATGAAATGACAAACAAAACATATTAAAAGAGATTCTTTTTATTAATGAATTACTTCTATATTAAAAGAGATTTAACATTCAAATATTGCATGAACCTCGATTTGATCTTGACTTGCAATCATATACATCTCCACACATACACTCTTCATATTGTCAAAACAGATCTTTTTACAGTAATTCACACAATTTGAAAATGAACTGGATATTAAGTGATATTACAGAATTCCTACCTTTCAGATGCTGAAGTAAGCCAAGATGAAAAGAGAGGCTGTCTGCAACTTTCAAATACGTTAGAAAGATAAATATTTTGCTAGATCTATCTAGAGCGTTAGACCTAGATGCTGGAAAATGAATGCTTATTGCATTATTCCAACATTTTTCATGCTTGAATTTTTCATAATAAAAAGAGAAAAGATTATTACATAAGCATATTTATGTGGGTGTCTTCAGAATCTGACCACTGCAACTCACTTCGCTCTCAGTCTGTTTAGACTGGTCATAGTCCTCTAGTCACAGTTACCATCTTCTCAACAGGATTTCTGTAGTCATCTCTCTAGTTTCCTTGTTGCTCTCCTTGTTGAACAAAGTATATTTTGTCACAGAAAAAAACAGAAAGTAAAGTACAAGGCTGTGCCATTCCTTCACTTTACACTCTGCAATAGCTCTTCCATTCACTCTAATACAAAGTCCAAATTCTTATCAATACAATGGTCCTCAAGGCCCTACATGATCTGTCTCCCTACCCAACCCCTGCTGCTGACCTGTCTGAACTACTTTCTTACCACTGTCTCTTGGCTTACTTCATTCTAGCCTCAGTGGCCCTCTTGTTCTTTCTCCAACATATGGGCTTCTTCCCACTGTAGTTCTTTGCTTGGGCTATGCCCTCTGCTTGGAATTCTCTTCCCTAAGATAGCTATATAAACTAACTTCTGTACTTTTTTTAAGTATTTACTCAATACAGTGGTCTACTTTAATCCCCTTAAATTTGAGCATTTCTCATATGCTCAGCCTCTCTTATTATTCTGATCCATTTTTAAAATTAATAGACTTTATGCTGTATATAAAAATATTTTTTCCATAGCCCTTATCTTCTGACATATCATGCTTTTCATGTTTATTTTTTATTGTCTGTCTCTAGTTTCTTTGGTTCATTGACTGAGCCCAAACATCTATTACCTTTATTACTGGCACATAGTAGCCCTGCCTTTAAAAAAAAAAAAAAAAAAAAAAAGGAATTGGTTGAATGAATGAAATAGAGTAAATGGGTGGGTATTATCCCATGTTTAGTTATTATTTTTTTTTTGGTAGCTTATGTGAAATTTTGGCTTTTCTCTCATGACTGATAATACCAGGCCAGTGCCATTAAGAAATATTTTCCTCCAGAAGGCAGATAAATGCAAGGCAAATCATTGCAAAATAGTATTTGTCTCCCATGCGCCTAGTTATGCTAATAACATCAAGAAAGACTATTTTGATAAGAAGACATCTGTTTTAAAATAATAGAAATTAATTTTATGAGAACTATCAAGTGGTTTTATGCTGAATAAATCTCATCTTCAAAGATCAAAAAAAATTTCAATATTAATAAAAATTTTCTATTTAACTGTAAGTTCCTTGAAGATCCTGGTCAATGTTTATGTACCCCGAATAATAGCTAAAATTGCAAATATAAAATTGATCAATATTGGAAGTATAAAATCGATCAATTAAATGCACATTAATGACAAAATGACATTATCAACCACAAAGTTCAGAAGACCAGATTTGGGTTAAGAATATGACATTTTTTAAGAGATGGAAAAGTACGAGATATTAAAAAATCATTTTCAATGAAGGAATGCTCAAACTAAAATGTAGCCATATTTTTTATAGAAATTATATCCAATTCACATTTTCAGAATCCAGAATGATGCATCTTTGTAGATATCAGTATCTTTTAAGCAACATGGAATGTAGATTTCACAAATCAAAATCCCAGTAGACAGGAATTTCATAACGTATATAATGGCAGAATCAGAGTTAATTTGATACCTGCTCCTTAAATGAAGCTGGGGGAGAGGATTACCAACACTTAAGGTAAATTTCAAATGTTATAAAAGAATGGAAGCAATCAGTAATATGAGCTGACTGAGGAACCAGAGGTATGGAAGAAAAATATGCTATATGAATGGAATCTCATGAAAACAGAAACATTGGCTGTGAACCTCAAGGAAAGCACTCAGGTAATGGAGTTTTGAATTTTAGGTTAAAATGAGAGGAACCAAGTAAATTTGCATAAAGTATAAACAACTTCAACAAACTTAGGAGCTAATATGAACTTTAGAATCTAAATGAACTGGAGAGGGGTGGAAAATTCTACTTTTGAGCTAATGAATATAGGAAGAGTTACTTGAATGTTTAGGAAGGAAGGGAAATACAATATGCAAAGGTAAAGAAAACTAAATACGGTATTTCTTATAAATAAAACTTATAGAGGGAACTTTTTGTAGACGCTTGTTTCATCCCTATAGGCTGACCAAATTTGATTTAACAATATGCTATTTCTAAAGTTGTAAAGGGTAAATTTGACTCACAGTATATTTAGGTCTTTGTGCAAAGGCACTGTTTCAAATGATTTCAAAAAATTAGAGTATATTTAATTTAATTCAATAAAGCATAGAAGCTAAGAGTTTGGGCTCTAGAGGATAATTATTTATGATCCATTCCTGGCTTATAAGATGAAATCTTTGGCAATTTATTTAATCTGCCTATGCTTAAATAACCTCATATGTAAAACAGGGGTAAGAATTGTACCAATTTCATTATTTGTGGTATATATGATGTGCATAATACGTGCTGTTATTACTTTATAATTATTTTAATTATATCTTCAAAATAACGAAAAGATTTTGGGAAAGACAAGTAAAGAACTTATCTATAGCATAGTTCAGCAAAATATGTACTTTCTTGCAAATTCTATTTTACAATATTAGATCTGTTTATTTAGTTCTTTCATGTGCTAATGAAGAAACAAGCACAGAAAAATGAGCACTTTTTTTCTTTTTAAAATAATGTTGCATCTACTTTTTCTAGTCCTAACCCATGGCTCTGCCTCCAAATAAAAGCACCTATTTGTTGTTGTTGATGTTAAGAAAAGTTAAAATTTTATGTCTACATATATACAATACTTCCAAACTTCATTACTTCATTGTACTTCCATCATTTCAATTATGGTGAAAATGTAGACATGGGTGGGAAATTATTTAAATTACACAGTTTTACTTTACTTCAGAGCAAATATTCTAAAATTGAAAGAAGCATCACTTTTTAGTTAGCTACATAAAATAAATTGTTATCACTTAAACATAAAGTAATTTGATGTGAGAATAATTATACTTAGAAAATGCAGATTTGTTATTTGTAACAGGCTTGCAATGCAAGTTTTCTTCTAGATCTTTGTAGTAGTTTGCTAGAGCTACCATTAAAAAATGCCACAGGCTGTGTGGTCAAACATCAGAAATTTATTTTCTCAGAGTTTTGGAGGCTGGAAGTCCAAGACTAAGGTGCCAGCAGGGTAGGTTTTTCTCTGAGGCCTCTCTCCTTGGCTTGCAGATGGCTGCCCTACTGCTGCCTCTTCACATGGTTGTCTCTTTGTGTGTCCAGAGTTTGTTTTCTGCTAAGGACACCAGTTGATTGGATTAAGGTCTACTTCAACAGCCTCATTTTAACCTAATTACCTCTTTAAAGGCTCTATCTTCAAATATAGTTACACTATGAAAAACAGAGGGCTAAGGTTTCAATATATGAATTTTAAAGGAACACAATTCAGCCAATAACAGTCTTCTTTAAAATTATTTTAAGTCATAAAATGTCACGTTTTAATAATTTACTGTAATGTAAAACTGAGAATTTGCTCTCTGTACCCCTTTACTCTTTCTACCCCTCAAGAAACATGACTTTGCTTAGGAAAATGAACCAGTAAAATCTATTCAGCTGAGTGCTTTAAATAACCCAGAAAGAATCTTTGGAACAAGCTCATGAATCATGTTCTCAACTTTACTTATGTCAAAATCCATTTTTTGGCCCCTTTCTTCCTGAAAATGGCTAATGATCCATGTACTATCTGACAATTCAAAACTCCTTCAACTTCTAGGCCACATTTGTGGCTGCATTTCAGGAGTTCAACATTTTAATACTACTATGGAAACTGGAAAAATTGTCATACTGTTAAAAAATAAGGGCAGGAAAGATGTCAAAACCATAGCAAGACTGTATGTAATTTAGTCTGAGTTTCAGTTTTACTTGTTTTAATGATCTTCTGCTTTTCAATTGTATCTCTTTTTTAAACGTATCTTTTCTCACTCCGTTATTTCTTTTTTCATTATCTCCCTATTTTATTTCTACAGAAAGGTTGAAAATACAGTGGGTTAGAATACCGGAGTGACATTTAGCTGCAATGCATTTTTCCTAAGAATCTCCTAATATTTTTTCCTCATTTTTTGCCATCTTTTTTGAAATTAACGTCTATCTTTAGAACACAGTGTTTTCTTGAGAAGTTTCCCATTATTATATAAGATGGAAAAAATCGAATACATATTTTTTTAAGGCTAAGAGTCTGTTGAGAATTTAATTGTATTAGATTCTATGTAAATGCAGCAGGAGTTCAGAGAAGCAAGAAATTAAAATGCAAGTCACTGAAAGTTCCCTTGGTTTGGGGAGGGACTTGGAAAAATGTTTTAAAGACAGGTATGATTTGGATAGGTGTAAGTTTGATGAGTGACCTCTCTGAGGACTTTATCACAGCCTAAGTAGACCCTTTGGGATAAGGATTAAAGGATACTTAGGACATGTTGAAGATTGTTTGGACTAACTGGGCATGCTGATTACTTTTTCGGTTTTTCACAAGGTATTCGTATGTTTATGGGATGGCCAAAAGTTTGAAAGTATAAATGTCCCCTATAGTTTCATCTTCCTAAGGCAGATTCTGTTTATATTCTGCAGCACTCAGGGCTTTTACCAGGCCTGGGGGATTAGCATAATGGGCAGAGCAGCAGGGTAGAAGAAGTCAAATGACAGAGCATAATTAATATGCTAGCTGTGGGATCTTAAATACAAGACACTTAACTGCTCTAGACTTCATGTCCCCATCCATAAGATAGTACGTCCTTCACAGGTTATTGTGTGGGGTTGATAGGAGAATTAAATGAGGTAACACGTTGCACCGTAAGTGAAAGATAATGCTGGTGTCTACCACGATTCTTATTCCTCTATTCCTAGTACCACTGTTTCAGGAAGGACATCAGTGAGAACAGGGAGGCAGGTATGTAGTTATAAGCATTGTGCTGATAAACAGGGCTGAGGAGCACAAAGTCAAAATGGCAGCTCGCTTTCCTAACTGTATTACTGTGGACGAGAGTGTCTATCTGCATATCAGCATAACTAAGGACTGCATTTTCAATAAAAATGGAATAAAATAATGCACATTTTAGAAACTTAGATTTAAATGGGATCTTCGAGATTATTTATTACAGTCTTCCTTCTGATATGGTAATACTTTCTACATTATCCTTGAGAAATAGTCATGTCACCTTTCGTTGAACCCTCCAAACTTCTGTGTCCTTTTCTGTCAAATAGGAATTGCCACCTTATCAGGTTAAAGTATGAATACAAGATAGTTTACTTGGTAAGTGCTTAGCACGATGCCTGGAAAAAGGTCAGCCCTTGATGTGCAATTACTGTTGCTTCTACTCTGTTTACTAAACAGGAAGTATATTCTATTTAATTTTTCTTTCTAAAAAGATAATGTGTTTCTTCTGGGAATAAAATGTGCTGTATTAATTTTTCTTAGTAAGATGCTTATCTTTGAGAAAAAAATGAATATTGGTTTTAAGAGATGAAGGTAGTTCCTCTAAGCACTGGGCCAATTAGGTTTTTTGGGCATGCATCATTGAAACTAAAAACACATGCTAGGATATGGATGGTGTTTCCTTCACTATCCCTAACAAGCCTTCCATAGCTCCTTCCTGTTGCTCTAGACTTGGGTTGTCTAAGGGACTGGAAGGAAGCATGTGACTTCCTTATATAATTCCCATTAGGTATCAGCTCACCCCTCAATGGCAGTGAAATGTCATAAGCAACTGTGGAGATTGCAAGAGCTTTTTCTGCCATTACTACCTGCAGTCTTCTTTATAGTCTCATGTCTCACCCAGTTTACATGCCATAATTCAGTATTTAAACATACTATGAATCATGGAATATTTAAAAATAAATACATGTTTTAATCCCCAGGAGCAGCATTTTTCAACCTTTTCTTTATCATTAATCACTAAGTAGCTTTTGGAGACATTTTTCTTAGTTACCATCCCACCTCATGAAATACAGTATTAACATCATAGATGTACTATATACCATGCATGTGCTATATGTAATATACTCATGCTTTATACACAAAAAGAGCAAGAAATAATAAGGCTCTCACAATCACTAGCAAGAACAAAGTTTTTACCCTTTTACCCCTTGGGGATGATATTGCCCAGGTTGAGAATGCATGCCTAGAGGTTTCTTAAAATTATGTTGTTGGCTATCGTTTTTTTGTTTTTTTTTTTTGAGATGGAGTCTTGCTCTGTCGCCCAGGCTGGAGCGCAGCGGCACAATCTCAGCTTACTGCAAGCTCCGCCTCCCGGGTTCACGCCATTCTCCTGCCTCAGCCTCCCGAGTAGCTGGGACAACAGGTGCCCGCCACCACGCCTGGCTAATATTTTTTTGTATTTTTTTAGTAGAGACGGGGTTTCACCGTGTTAGCCAGGTTGGTCTCCATCTCCTGACCTTGTGATCCGCCAGCCTCGGCCTCCCAAAGTGCTGGGATTACAGGCGTGAGCCACCGCGCTAGACCGGCTATCTAAAAAACTAAAAAAAAAACAGAAGACTGACTTCTTTTATGATATCAACTTCAGCTAGACTTCTACTTAGGTAGAAAATTTACAAGGATATATATACTTAAAGGAAATTCTGAACTGAGATATTTTTAAACTCAGAATATAAAAATCAGTCATACAAAAATATATGTTTTTAATTTGGGCTAACCAAGCATATGGTAGCAAAAATAAAGACTGATTAAAACTTCTTACAATTTTTTTCATCGACTAGATCATTTTATGGAATATTCCATTTTAAATTAGTATTTAATATTAATTTAATACAGAAATAGGTGATTTTTTTAAAGTATTATAAAGCAAAAATCTCCTTTGACCATTACTGTTTATTTTGATCCCCTTAAACGTCTTCAAGAAAAATATTATTATTACTGTGTTTCCATACCTTTTTAACTTTTTATATAAACATGCACACATATATCCATGTTCATGTATGTGGAGATTATTCTTTTTCACCGCTGCTTTTTAATCTGTGGTAGGAACTACCAGAATTTTATTTAGTCCTTTATCCAATTCATAGACATTCAGGTTAAGATCTTCAAATTTAGTTTATCAAAGAGTAGGGCAGAATCTCAATGCCTAATGTAGTAATTCACTGACATGTGTATCAGGATAATTGCAGAGTTTCAATAAAGAGATGAGATCATACAAACCAGGTCTGTAATCTAATTCCTTGGTTTTTCATAAGTCGTCTTCATTTTGGTTTTCTGAAAGCCCTATTTGTGTTTTATTTTAATTTAATAAACACTTACATAGTACTTACTGCTCTAGGTTCTTTACAAATACTAACCCTAATAACCATTACAAGTTTTATCTATACTTTAAAAATGAAATAAGTGACACACTAATAGGTTAAATAACTTCCCATGAGGACAGAATTAGGCCAGAGCCAGGATGAAAACCTGGGCTGGCGAACCCAGTCTGTATTCTGACCCGTATGCCATGCTGCTGCTTCTCTTTGTGATGTACTAACAAGTAATGTGCATCTATTTATACTTGCCTTTATTGTGAGACAAATGAAAGCCAAGCACAGCTACCCAAGGAACAGACCACATCATTAAAGAAGCATAGAACATAATTTGTGTTTCATCATATTTTCTTTTTTTTCTTTTTCTTTTTTACTGTGTTTTCTTAGACACCGTGAAATTCTCTAAGATGGCGTATATCAGGTATTTTACTTCCTTCAAATTTGGTCACATTTTATATTTCAGCTTATGTGATAAAGATGTGTAGCTTTTCTAATCAGATTCAGTGAATTACACCCTCTTTTTTTTTTTTTTTTTTTTTTGAGACAGAATATCGCTCTGTCACCCAGGCTGGAGTGCAGGGGCATCATCTCGGCTCATTGAAACCTCTGCCTCCCAGGTTCAAGTGATTCTCCTGCCTCAGCCTCCCGAGGAGCTGGGACTACAAGCACGCGCAACCACGCCTGGCTAATTCGTGTACTTTTAGTAGAGACAGGGTTTCAGCATGTTGGCAAGGCTGGTCTCAAACTCCTGACCAAGTGGACTGCCACTGCACTCCCAAAGGTATGAGCCACTGCGCTCGGTCAGATTCAGTGAATCACATCTTAAGCAAACATTATGAATGCTGGTTCAAAACTGTATCAAGTAGAATTATTTTTTGCAGTGTATAGTAATTCATCTATCAATCTATAAATTTCAGGCAATAAGTCATGATAAGGAAAGCTGAAAGTAAATCCAAAGGTAGTAGCCAGGCTAATCAGTATTTTTAAATGAAAAAAAAAATCAGCAAGCTTTTTATTAGAGAAGATGAAAACTTGAGAATAGTAACTGGAGTAGCCACTTTTGAAGGGCAGAAAGAAAAATGGAAAATTTATTTATTAACCTAGTGTATGTATTATAATTTAACTTAATTTAAATGCATACATATTCACACACATAACTTGTTTCTGTCAAAGATATGTTTGTATTTCCTTGAGCTGAGTTATATTTTATCACCTTACTAACTGCAACCATCTTATCAGAAAAGGGGAAAAACTTTCAGATAGGTTTTGGAATAATTTAACTCTGCAGAATGTAATGAATGTTCCATATTACCTTTAATTGAAACATATATATTAGTCATAAAATTCATAAATCACAAGTGCAGAAAAAAAGAACATGGAGTCATAAATTTGACACATTTTACATTAAAATAGATACATCAACTATTAAAATAAATGTATCTCTTACTGAGAAAATAGATCAAAATCAAATCTAATAGTTCACTTACCAAATCAGACATTCACTATTGAATCATTACTTATTGAACACTGAAGAAGATACATCATCTATCAAATCAAATACCTTCTCTAGTAAATCAACTCCACCATCTGACTCAAAACTGTCTCCTACTAAATCAAAAAACCACCCAATAAATCAAAGCAATATTGCATCAAAGAATTTCATTTAAAGTAAATATAGTGCATCACCAGCCAGCATATATCACAGTAAAGGTATCATTTATTAAACGAAAGATATGCCTTTTGCCACCTAACTCTTCCAAATGTGTTCCTTTTGATACATTTAGATTTCCTTTACCATCATTTTTAAGAACACATTTTCTAAGCATATAATACTCAAACAAGAAGGAAGTGTGTGAGAATGCTTAAAATAAGTTTGCACTCTTACACAGCTCCAGCATGTATTTCATCTCTATTTTTTTCTATTTTGCTAAATAGTTTTTTATGTTGTTGATGTTTTTGTCTCTTTGTTTAATCCATTGATGGGAAAACATAGAGAACCAGGAAATTAGAGTCATCTTTTCTATGTATTGTTTCCCCATTTCTACAAGTACATACAGAGAGTTTTAAGGTCTCTTTCCATTCTCTCTCACTCCTTTCACCCAGCTGTGGCTGGGAGAGAATGGTCAAAGTCTAGAAATTGAATAGTTGAGGAACGTAGCAAGAGCATCTTTTCAATTCCAAAGTTTACCGAAGAATCCAGTGAAAAACATTTTCTCTCAATTTATAGTAAGAATTATGTATTTCTCTTTAGTTCTGTATTTTGTTCTTGAAAACAATATAACTACATATGTTAATTAAGACTGGGCTTCTCCTTAGTGCAATCAATGCTCCATAATAAACCTGTGGAAAATTCTCCCAGAAATTATCATTCAAACAACAAATTTTTACCTCTCAATATGAAAATTGACAGTACATATACTGGTTTAGTTTCACCCAAGAAATTGTCACTTCTGTCCTTTGAACTATCAACTATACAGACATAGACACTTCTAGAAATTAAATTTACTAAAGTTACCAATGTATTAGTATTAATTTTCATAAAGCTGAGATTCATAACTGGTAAAATGTAGACAGATGCAAAGCACAGATCATCTGATTACTTACTTGCTTTATGGTGGGTTGAAATTAAAATCATTTCCTGAATTTAAAATTAAAAAAAAATTCTAATAGCATTTTGACAATACTATCTCTGGAAAAGCTAAAATACCTGATAGTGCTAAGACCATGTTTCCTGCAACAATAAAAAGTTAGAGCTGAATAGTGGCTACTTTTTTGGGGTCAGGGCCTATATTCTTTATGTAACCCTACCCCACATTCACTTGCAAAGTATTTCCAAATACATCTGTTGATCTTATTTTTTGTACTACCTCCTTGGCCCTTTAAAGCCTGAGCTTGTAATTCCAACTGTAAAGCTGACCATCAATAAGTAATTTTGAGTAGTTACTTGGTGCTTAGTATTTTTTTGAGAACCATATGGATGTGTATAAAGTTTAAGACCGAGTTCCTGTCCTCAAGTAGCTTTTTGTCCTGCTGAGGAAAATAAAATACCCATGAAAGACACAGAGAATAGGCAAGTATATTTATAATGTACTAATTGCATAGTGCAAATAGTAAATACATTGCAGAAACAGAAACCACATATGAATAGAACTTAATGTTTATACTGGATTTGATATGTGTAAAGAAGAGAGAAAACATTAATTAAAAATTGCATATTTAAACATTATTGTTGTAAGAATAAACAAGTTGGAGGAGTAAGTAAAAGTTAACCAGTTAAAAATTTTCAAAAGACTATCTTGGGAACATATGAGATTGCTGGATAGAAAACTAAAGTTAGATTAGATTCAAAGAATGACTTTGAGTTGGAAATCAGAGTAAAAGTACCGTTTGTTTTATTGTTGCATAAACCTTGACTTATTATTATGTCTTTTCCCTATGCCCCACCTACATCCCAACTTAACTCATACCCTCAATAATAATTTAAACCTTTTGCTTTTCTCAGTAGAAATACAGCCACTCTACTGCTTGTTTTGAGATACACTTGCCTGGTTAAGGCTTGAAAATAAATTATAAGTCGTTTATGAGTTAAGTCAATAAGACTAGTCCTCCCTTACTGCAAGCTATTTATAAAACATGGCCCAAACCTGTTTATTACTGATCAGCAGTTTCTCATTATTGCTCTGTCTCTGTTGATATGAACGTTGATTAACTGTAACTGCAGCTTTGGCCAGCATGGATTGATTAGAACATAAAGTAAAGAGAATTGTAAAAGAATGTCAAAAGGAAGGAAAAAGTCCATAGAACACTTGGAGGGTATGTTGATGGTGATCCATTCAAGGTACAGGGCATATGCCTCTGGAGTCCACAGAACAGAGAGAAGACAATGATGTTACTCTAATTTAAGAAATACAATGGATTATTAAAAGAAAATGTTGGCCTCTCCAATAAATATATTCCAGATTTCTATTTTATACAGAATAAACTTCTCATTAATCTTTTTTTTTTTTTTTTTTTTCTGAGACAGAATCTTGCTTTGTCGCCAGGCTAGAGTGCAGTGGTGTGATCTTGATTCACTGCAACCTCCATCTCCTGGGTTCAAGTGATTCTCCTGCCTCAGCCTCCCAAGTAGCTGGGACTATAGGTGCACGCCACCACACCCAGCTAATTTTTGTATTTTTAGTAGAGACGGGGATTCACCATGTTGACCAGGATGGTCTCAATCTCTTGACCTCATGATCTGCCTGCCTCGGCCTCCCAAAGTGCTGGGATTATAGGCGTGAGCCACTGCACCCGGCCTCATTAATCTTTTTTTCTGACTATCAACTTTCTTTTTTTGATTACTCAGAAAATATAACCCTTTTAAAAAAGTTTCTTATTGATTCTGATGTTAAGTTTTTATTCTCTTTATCTTTATTTTGAAAAGACTAGTAAATATTAGGATATTAGTGCCTACAGCTAATTTTATAACTTAAAAAAATAAATGAAATGGGATTTTAAAAAACATATACACCTTATAGAAACCCTCTTTATTCCCCAAGCATAATTATTCATAAATTACTTAAGGGGTGGTGTCACAAGCTGGAATATTCCTAGGGAATGAGTTTCTGTGAGTTCCCTGGAAAGGATGTGCTAGCATCCCAACATTCTTTGTGCTACATGTTTTGTCAATAAATTTGAGTACTATTAGGTTCAAAGCTCTATGGTAAACTCAGTGGGAGACCACTAAAACAAATTGAGATGCTTTCTTTTTTCTCAAAAGGCTCCTTATCACCCCACATCCCCCAAAGAAATAAGATACACACATGAATTTACAATACAAAAGAATATGGGATGTAGCCAAAGTACTTTGAAAGTTCAGAATAGGAAAAATTCATAGTTCCCCGGGAAAAATCCAAGAAAGCTTTTTGGAGAAAATGTCACTTGAGTCTGGACCGGAAGGATGTTGACAATCTTTTTTATGGAGAACTATTGGAGTGGAAGGGATTTCAGGGAAGAGAAAAGAGCCCAATACTTAGGGGCAGGAAGGAAACAGGCATCAGGTTTGGAAAGGGTTGGTATGAATGTTGGCCAGAGGCAGCAATCTTTAAAACTGTCTAAATCATTCAATTCTCTAAATGTAAGCTTCAATAAGCTCAATTTGTCAGCTGAGTAAACATCAAGCTGTTCTGGTGGAAGTGAGGGTAGGGCCCCAGAACTCTGTTGACTCCTCTCTGAAGAGCCTCCCCACCATTTTCTCACCTCAGCTTTGTGGTAGCTGAGGAAAAGCCAACACACTTTTTTAGTACTTGGTGAGTGAGTATACAGTGAATAAACAGAATGAGTGAGAAAGAAGGCCAGATAAGAAAAACGTGAGATTGCAGTGGATTATAAATTGCACTGAATATCAATACTGCTGACAATTACTCAGCAAAAAGCAGATGGAGTTTCTAGGAATGATTGGGTTTTTGTTTTGTATTAACATAGTAATGACCTAATCAGAGCTACACCTTGGGAAGATATGTTTAGTTGTTCTTCCAAGGGAATTAATCTCAAGAGAGTTTATAATGAAAGGTTACCATATCATCAGTTTGGTTTAGAGATGAAGAAATTAAGACACCTATGACTGACTGGATGTAGGAACACGGTGGAGCTCTTGTTGGTTGACATCTTTGCTTCCATACATCCAAAAGACTACTGTTGCTATTAACCAGCAGAAGGAAAGGACATGTGTGAAGCAGAAAGAGGTCAGTGCTCTTTATGTTGAGTTTTTTTGGTACTAAATGAACATACAAAGAAAGTGAGTGTCCTTTTGAAGCTGTGAATGCCTGATTCATTGTCATAAAGAGAAGAGGAAAAATTATGTCGTGGAGGACTTCATTGAGAGGTTATGTAATTAGTAATAAGAAACAAGAAGACCAAGAACAAAAAATCTTCATAATGAAAAATTAATTTTAAGTTCAATGGAGTTAATTTGTTTCTTCTAGGATTTGAATTAAGTTGTAAAATTTTCTCAGCAGTTGCTTAACTATAAAACAAAGCATGTCCAATAATAATAATTCATTTATAAAAGACATTCCTAGAAAAGTTAGCTCTAATATTTTCTTTAAAAATTACTCCTCTGGCTTTGCATTCAAATACATAGCCCTGCAGAATAAGCTTCTGGCTCTTCACTTAGGTCCCAACTCTTTGTCTATGAGTGTAGACCTTAAATCAATTAAGTGCAATCCATCAAGTCAATTACAGAAGTCTAAAACATTACAACTCTCAAAGCCTTCTTTGTTTTCTTTAACAAAAAAAAAGAGAGAAGACAGATTTCTCTCTCACCAATTTTGTTTAAAAAGAAAAAAATTCTAGATCTTATATCCTACATAGGGCATTGATTTCTCTACATGAAAAACAAATCTATAACATTTAAAAATTACATCTGATAAGTGGTTTCTTTTAGATCAATGAGTAAAAAAATTATTAACTTAGGTAACTGTGTAATATAACAAAATAAGAATTAGTCTGTGTCTGAGAAGAACTACTACTTGTTTCTGCTTCTGTTATTTGACATTTCTTCTCCTGTAACTATTTCTGTAAATGCTATAAATGACAAGGGCTTTGATTAACTGCTTCCAAGATCTATCTTCCTCCCAATTCTGCTCATTTTTAAAGATGGGGTACCACTTGATTTGACTTCAATACATACTCCTCTTAATTTTAGTAATCTTATTTCCAGTTCATCTTTGTACAAGCAGACATGTACAAATGTTTGCTTATTCTCAGTTTCTGTTAGTGGATTTACAGAGACAATGGAAGAGGATCCCACCCAAGTAATTGCAGGTAACTTCTGTGAAACATCAATCATCCTAAAGTGTTGTAAGAAGAGAGCAGGTATACTTCTTAAGGAGGTTAATGGTAGTGATTTAAAGAATCCTGGAGACAGACAATCCTGGTTTAGAGGTATATTAATATTCATTAAATTATTTAACCTATCTTGGCCTTCCTGTCTCCCTCATAGTGTAATAGTGAGAAATGTATGGCATGAACTCAGTATAGAGTCCAGTATGGAGGAAGCACTGAAATAAATGACACCTATTCTTATCATTGCATTTCTGACTTTCAGGTTGTTCACAATCATACTTTTGCCAGAGCTATTTCCTTTATTCACAGATCATTGTACCAATTTTTTGTTGTTATTTCCTTAACCAAATTCTGTCACGGATTTTGTGTTTTCCCATTAATCCACCATGGAGTTCATGTAGCAGACATTCTTTTCCCCATTTTAAAGATAAGGAAAATGAAAAATTAGGTTTTTGCCCATGGTGCCCAAATAAGAAGTGGCTGAGTTGAAACTAAAACCTTATTTCTCAATAGATACTCATTTCAATAAGTCATATAATTTAAAATAGGAACAATTAACTAGCCAAAACTACTACTATGGTTGTATGTTTTGTTAAGTAACAGAAATGTTGCAAAAAGCCTTAAAGAAGAATAGAACTAGTACTGATTGGAAGTTGATGCTTCCACTTTATAGTTATATAACACAATTAAACATTTTAAATTTGTCTTCCAAATTATCACTTAATTCTTTTCCATCACTAAACAAGAAATAATTTACCATTTTAGAAAAGAAGACACTGAATCAATGGAAGGTTATTACAACTGCCCCATTCTCTTACAAAGCATCCAAAAAGTGGTAGAAGCTTTTACATTTCCTGGTCCTTTCTCCCCCACAATGTTATCACTCACTCACTAAAAGCTGAGTTAAGGAAGAGAGGGGTGGAAAGACGATTTGCACAGAATGTCTGGTGTTATTTTCTAAAACGTCTGGATACTCTTTTTGTTTCTTGCAGTTATTTAACTGGTGGCTGTATCACTTCTGTTTGAAAAATGTGTGAAGATCCCGCTGTGTGAATCGGAGGACTTGAACAAAGTGAATATGACTACATGAATACTGATTTATTGCTCAACACAACGGTGTCTTAATTGAAGAGCCACCTGTCTAGCAAAAGTAGAACTCTGTTACTAGATTTACCATTTAAAAAAAAAACAAGAACATATAATTTTTTTAAAGGTGGAAACTTGTACCACTCCTTTTCCTTAGAAAACAGACTACTTTCTTTTTGTTCATTTGTAAAACATACATTTTTTTCATTTTACCAATAATTTGAAAAATGTCCATTATTCATAACTAACTTCTTAATCAAAAACCTAGAATTCCACAAGAATCAGAGAATTGGCAAATATATGTAAAACCTAGTCCGAGACAATTTTGTTTGATTTACAAGGAGCCTCTTGTCTTCCATTTAAATTTATCCATGTGCCCTACAGTCATCTGTCAGTCTGGGAGAATTTCCAAATAATCAAAATGTCACAGAGTTAGTACTTTTAATTTTTATTTCATCTCCCGCAAGTATGAACTCTGATTGTAATTACTGCTTCATCTGCTCTTGAATGATTTTGTTTTATCAGACAAAACAACGCTCTAACGACCACACTGAGGGAGAATAAGAAAACTGCTCAAGATAGGAAACAATGAGAATACCATGTTTGGGGAAGTGGCAAACCACCAGAAACTATAGATTACACAAGTTGCACAAGGAAGCCATAATTAAGAGTTAAGTATTTAAGACCCACAACTTACCTTTACACCCAAGTCACGTGTTGTTTTCTCTGGCCAAAATATTTGATTGGAAGGGAAGAAGCCTAGAGCAAAAAATGTTCTGATGGAAAAGGCAAATTAATCCGCAGAAGAAATATAATGGAATATGATTGATCAATGGAGATAACCATTATTTTAGAAGATAAGGGAATCTAAGGAATATCCCTCTCTGGCCTCATTCTATCATGCTTCCTAAATACCAATTAGATAAAACATAAATGATCCAGGACTTCCCCTACTTACATCCTTGGTCGGATGGCCTAGGGAAGACTGTTTAGAGTTGAATGATACTTTTATCCTACTTCAGCCAGAGTTTGGCCTTAATGAAAAAGCTTATATAATCCCTAGGATTTATTATGTACTTAATAGGCCTAGTTATGTGATGCTGAACAAATTCTTTAACACTGATACTTTAAATTGCCCCTCTATTAAAACTAGTAGCAACGTCTGTTCTACTATGACATGGAGTTATTTTGATGTGGAAATGAGATGGTCTAATTTTTGATAAGTCTGAAGTATGAAAATAAGTAGTATTAATTGCTAGCTATTCTTTAAATAATATCTTTCTTAAAAGTCAACTTTCTCTGAAGTTTACAAGCATGACAAGCAGAAGACACAAATTCTGTGAGAAAAAAAGGAAAAAGAAATGAGCAGAGGTGAATGTGGATAAGCATTTTATTGAATAATGGAATTTTGGTAACACTGAAAATCCTAAAAGTTTACCTACTTAAAATTTTTTTGTTTAGATGCCACAGCCTGGAATAGTAAACAAGAGTCACACACAATGTCCCCAATGTCCTACAGTTAATGGGAAGCACAGTGTGAATTAGAACTAAAGTCTCCAGAATCTAAGCCTAATGTCCTTTTCTTTATGCCAATACATCATGTTGCCTTACTTTCTACTCCCCGAGAAACATAAGAATTGGAAGATAAATCTTGTTAGTGTGTAGTGTACATCCCACAGACTCAGAATCATAAGATTTCCAAGTAGGAAATACCCTATGAGTTCATTTAATTTGAAGAATTGTCACACTTTTCCACTCTCCTTGGCAGATGATGATCACCTTTTATGATTAGCTCTAGAGAAAGCAAGGAATATTTTCATTTCTATTTGGATCAACATGAGAAATATCTGGAGGTAGATGATTCTTTTATGCATGCATGTGATTATAGTTTTACACTCTGGAATGATGTTAAACCCACTCAACACTTCTCATAACACTCATATTTAAACCCCAAGGCTTTGCCATGGGCAAAAAGGCCCAGCATGGTCTGCTTTGTGCCCCAAGTATCTCTCTGAGTCTACACTCTCACTTACTTGGCTTCAGCCACACTCATCTCCCTTCATGCTGTAACTCAAGCACGCCGGATGTTTTCCTAAATTGAGGTCTTTTGCTTGCTTCTAGTTCTGCCTAGAAAGTGGCCTCCTTCAAACATGACTTCCTGCCTTTCATCTAGTAGGGCTCTCCTCAAATGTCTCTTTGTTAGAAAAGGCACATTTGAACACCCTACTAAAAACAAGAACCTTCTTCACCCGACTACTGCATCCCCTTACACCACTTTGCTTGACATTTATTTTATGTGTTTGTTGTTTTTCTTTCTTTCTATTTTTTTGCTTCTTTGCTTTATAAAATATTTTATTATTCTCAGCACCTAAAACAGTGCCTGGCATATGAAAGAAGAAAAAAACTTTCAAAGAAAGAAATATTAACCTCCTTTAACAAAATAATTTAGTGCAACTTTAGATATTTTATGAAACAATCTAGGAGAAATTCTATTGGAATCATCTTTTTATATATTTAAAAAGAAATAGCTTGATTTCCCTTAAGTGATAATTATTTCAATCATTTTAATTACTGCATAGTAATTCCCAATTGTATTTGGAATTCTTAATTACCAACATGGAATACATCAATGACTTTGTCTATGTGGAACATCTACCTGTAATGATCAACAGTCAATCAACTAAAATATTTTTAATAACCAGATGTTTACAAATATGTAAAAAAATTCTTCAAGTTTTGACAAAATTAAGAACTTTTTAGGAAGCATCTTATCATGCACATGTGATAAGTCTACATATTTGTGATTTATAGATGTGAAACATTTTCTTTTGGTAGCTGGCAGAGATCCCAAAGCTAGTTGCTGCTGATAGTGGTGGTGATGAAGAATTGGTAATTGCAACATCAGTGTTCTATGATGAGAGAGGGAACAGGAGGAGAAAGAAGAGACAGAAGAGAAAATGCTATCAGAGGCAAAATACATTTCTTAATTTTGAGAATGGCTAGGAAAAATGGGAGCCTGAAAAATATGAAAATCCCAAACAACAAAAAAACCTAAAACATATTCAAGAAGCAGAAAATTGAATAGACCAATAAACAGATAAGAAATTGAAAGGAAAAAAAGTAGTCTGAGAATTGTCTCCCACAATATCCTCAGGTACAGATAGTTTTATAGCCTAGTTCTTTCAAGTTTATTAAAAAAAGTCTTTTATATGTATAGGCCCTGTGGAGCACAAAGGAAAACAAAGAAAGAAAGTTCCCAATCTGTTTTATATACTCAGCATAATACAGGTAAGAAAATCTGAGGGAGAACAAAATCAGAAGACTCCAGGCCAACAACAATTACAAACATGGAAGCAAAATGTGAAATAAAGTTTAGCATATTGAATTTACCAATGTATTAAAAGGAGAATATATTTAGTGTAAATTCCAAGAAGAATTTGAAATGAAAGGCTATTTAATTTCAGGACTTAAAAAAATGAATCACAGTATTAAAATATGGGGAACATTTTGCCTGATGATTTGAGTTGATTTTGAGAGTAGAGAAATGCAAATCAAAACCATGAGATACCATCTCACACCAGTTAGAATGGCAATCATTAAAAAGTCAGGAAACAACAGCTGCTGGAGAGGATGTGGAGAAATAGGAACACTTTTACACTGTTGGTGGGACTGTAAACTAGTTCAACCATTGTGGAAGTCAGTGTGGCGATTCCTCAGGGATCTAGAACTAGAAATACCATTTGACCCAGCCATCCCATTACTGGGTATATACCCAAAGGACTATAAATCATGCTGCTATAAAGACACATGCACACGTATGTTTATTGCGGCACTATTCACAATAGCAAAGACTTGGAACCAACCCAAATGTCCAACAATGATAGACTGGATTAAGAAAATGTGGCACATATACACCATGGAATACTATGCAGCCATAAAAAATGATGAGTTCATGTCTTGTAGGGACATGGATGAAATTGGAAATCATCATTCTCAGTAAACTATCACCAGAACAAAAAACCAAACACCGCATATTCTCACTCATAGGTGGGAATTGAACAATGAGAACATATGGACACAGGAAGGGGAACATCATACTCCGGGGACTGTTGTGGGGAGGGGGGAGGGGGGAGGGATAGCATTAGGAGATATAGCTAATGCTAAATGACGAGTTAATGGGTGCAGCACACCAGCATGGCACATGTATACATATGTAACTAACCTGCACGTTGTGCACATGTACCCTAAAACTTAAAGTATAATAATAATAAAATAAAAAAAAGATTTTGAGAGTATTTAATAAAATTCTTCATTAAAAAAATACTGACGACTTATACATCCTAATCATAACAGAGAATATCTAGCCCAACTCACTTCCAATGCCATATCTAACAGTGAAACACGTGAAGCAATTTCACTAAAGTCAAGGAATTGGGAAGAACCTTCCCTTTCATCTTTACTATTTAAAAATATTTCACAATTTCTAGCCTATATTACAAGAATCAAGGAGAAAAACATCACTCTTTGAAGTAAGGGAATAAAATTTTTTACTTGCAGATGTTATTAAACACCTAAAATATACAGAGGAAACACCTGGTGAAAAGTCCAGTAAGATACCTGGTTATCAAAAGTACCAAAATAATTTACTTTCTTACATACAAACAATGATATAATAGAAAATACAATAAAAACTATCAACAATAGCAAAAAATTAGATAAAATATTTTTGATAAAATTAAGAACTAACCAAGGCCTATGTGGAGGTAATCACAAAGTGTAACTAAAGGATATTAGAACAAAATTAAGAAATTAGGAAGCATGCATATTCCTGGATAGTCAAATGTAATATTGTCAAGATATCAATCCTGTGACACTGATTTCTACATTTGATGTAATGTCAACAATATATAGTTTGCTATGGTTATCTGCTTTTTTGTTTTCAAATGAATATGAAAATAATGTCATTAAATTCTCTAAAATAGTTTTGGAGATGCTATTGGTATTTCATCCAGTAGTTCTGTTGGTTGTTCTGGTTGGTTTTGCAGGAAAATGGAAAAAAAAAATCAGCAGTAAGTCACAGACAAGCTCATCAGCATTCTTTTACCATTATTTATTTAAGTATGTCTGGGGGTTATATAACTTGCACAGATAACCAATTAAAGGGCAAAAAAAAAAAAAAGAAATCAAAATCAGTGTGTGACTTTATTAAGTTCTACAAAATTTACAGATAGACTAATTAAATAATTTACTCAAGTTACATTTATATGACACCAACTTTGTAACCTTTCTGAGCTAAAATTTAGAGGTATAAAGATGTCTTAATTAAAGAGTCACAGGGAGAGTTGTACATATCAGCTGATGCCAAATGATGGGTCTGTAATGAATATTTATCCATGTAATTCTAGAGGTTATAGTCTTAGTTCCAAAGCAACTGAATAGTTCTATAACTTTCTAGTTTGGATAAATGCTATTAAGCACTTGTAATTATGATCTTATTGCTCTTCCCCATTCCCTTTAACAGCTAGCAACATTTTGACAATAGTAAAATTATGCCTTATATATTTAAAGAACTAAACCAAATATGCAAGTTAAAATCAATGCAAAAAAATAAGTGTTGGCCAGTGCAACTTACATCTCTCCTTTTTGATATCAGTAGACCACCAAGTAATAAGAACTTCTTACTCTAGGAAATATATAGATGAGTGGACATTCTTGTGTACTTTGGCTGTCTGCTTCTGAATGAAAACTTAAGTGTTTCTCTCTTTAGAGATTCAAAGCATCTTGCATTTTAATTCATTGATGTACAAATCCAAAGGGAAAACATTTTTCATTTGCCAGTAGAACAAGTTAATTTTGAGAGAGTAGTTTAATTTAGATTAGACAAATGTAGGTTGTTAGCTGAAAGGCATAAAGCTCTAAAAGCAAATTAGTGGCAGGATAATTGCTGTTGTGAAAAATATTTTCTTGTGCATAAGCCCACTACTGTACATTCTAAAATAAGCTTCAAATGTCTCCATCTTTACAAGAAATTCATAGAATAACAAAATAAGAAGATCCTTAATTCCCAAATATTTACCAGGCCATTGCGGCAATTCGTTTGCTTATTTATTTGAAAATGGAAAAGTGTTTAGGCTAAGAAAATGAATTTTAAAAATATAAACTTGTGTTTATGAAAATAGTGATTTAAAAATGAAATTCTTTTCCCTTTGTATTAAAACTGAGTATCAACAATGGAAAGTGAAGCAATCAACATAAATATGAGTGGGAGGTGTTCTGATTGATAGATATCAGGACAAGATAAAAAGAAAATACATGAGGACTGGAATCATAACTGTGTGTATGCATTTATTTTTTGTAACTGGGAAGAGAAGTGGTATCGGCTATGTCAATTAGTAGGAGGTGTTTTTATTAATAAGAAATAGTCTAAAGGAAACATCTTTGTGGAGTAAAGGATTAGAAGATTTAGACTCTGTCTTCTAAAAGAGAAACCTCCACACACTTACTTTCTCCCAGATTCTAGGGCTAGAATCTAATGTGATACAGTATGACAGTAGTTGGGGCAAAATCCTTCCGTTTAATATCAAGAGATGATGACATGATGTTGAATCTCATCTCAGGAATTTCAAATGTTTCTTTTTTTGAATCGATAATAAGATACTTAGTTTTACAATTGCATGGAAACTTTAAATGATGGTTTCAGTCTAGCTGGCCTGTCAGTACATTATATTATCACACTTACAGTGAATTTTAAATATTTGAAATAAATGCATCCTAATAATCTGTATCCTGGGGAAGGATTAAGGACAAATATAAATAAGGCTGGATGATAGGTTAATCTTTTGGGGAAATAATTACAAAACAGGTAGTTGTTAGTATATGTACACCTGTAAACAATTTGGGACATGCTAGAATTACTGAAAAGTATGTAAGTGAAATAATACCTATCTCACTTCATAGGGTGGTATGTTTTATGTAAAGCCTCTTCTGTCCCCTGTGGCTAATATTACCCATAATCTTTAAAGAAGTGTCAAAGCAATATTTGCTGGTTATAAAAACTTGAAAACATTCTGAGAGACCCTAGTTTTAGTATTTATGTGTGGGTGTGTTACTTTTTAATGGAAAGTCAATCATTTGCCAATGTAGCTTTGAAAAATAGTTGGGCTCATCTCTGTGCTTTCCTTATTTTTAAAAAATCTTTAAAGTAGAGTAAAAGCATAACTACTTTGCAGTTAAAAAAACGAACATTAAATGAGCAGGATATAAGCCCTTTGTATTTGAGATAAAGATATACATAATACATAGTATATATATTTATTATGCATTATTACTGATGAATACATATCATAAATGTATAGATGTATGTCAATATACATATATATGCTTATATATATATGCCTTTATCATTAACTATTTTTAAATAGGTATCTGAGTAGCATGTGTTACATGAAGCTGGATAATAAAGAAAGGCTAATCTTGACACTTGATTAAGAGGTCACTCTATGAATTTCAAAGGCAGTATAAAGCCATCTTCAGTGAGTAGACCAGCATTCTACCTCCCTATCAGACAGAGATGACATACAGGTTAAGATTATACCAAATCCTTTCTCTGTTACTCGTATGACCTTATTAAGAAGGTTATTTAATCTCTAGTTTTAAAATAAAGACAACTATATTAACTTTTTTCATATATTTATTGAGGGATGTTGGTTATTGGTATAATTTATGTAAAGAATTGAACAGTGCTTAATTAATGTTTATATATTATTGTTGTTACTGTTATTGCACACGGGGCTGCCTTATCCAGGTTTCATTACGGCTGGGTAGCAAATAATGGGCTGAGTTGTGATCAAGGAAAAAAGGAAAAATGGACATGATCCTAGCAAATATCATTTTGCAAATCCTTTTTATAAAATTTCTCAGTCATTTTACTCAGAGAAAAAATTCGAGGTTTAAAATACATGTCATTAGTAGGACTATTAATTGGACTGAATACATCTTTTCCCAGTTTATAAAATAATTTCCCAGATGAATAGTTTTTATAAAATAATGACTCAGAACTAGATATGTAACTCCAATTTATATTAACGTTTTCTTCCAATTTAACAAAATGTATTGGAAGTTAACTTCACAACATTTTTAAACAACTCCAGATTCAACATTTACCTCTATTTTCCAAATTGTCAAGATTTACTTTGACAGCTTAAGCTATGGGACAGAAAACACAGCTGAGAATATAACTAAAAGCCGAAATAGAAATCCTCAGGTCCTTGGGTTGGTTTGCTTTGGGTCATCTATCTTCCTTTCTTTCTTTCCTTTCTTTCCTTTCTTTTCCTCCCTCCCTCCCTCCCTTGTTTCCTCTCTTTCTCTTTCCCTTCCTCCCTCCCTCCCATCCTCCTTCCCTCCTTCCCTCCCTCCCTTCCTTTCCTTCCTTTACTTCTTCTTCTTCTTTATTTCTCCCTCTCTTTCTTTCCGTTGAGACAAATGCACTTCTGCCTGGAATTGCTTAAATGCAGCAGAACTCTATGCTATGTTTAAAAACAGTACCCCCTTTGGGAGGCCGAGGTGGGCTGATCACCTGAGGTCAGGAGTTCAAGACCAGTCTAACTAACATGGTGAAACCCTGTCGCTACTAAAACAAACAAACAAACAAACAAAAAAACCACAAAACAAAAATTAGCCAGGTTTGGTGGCACAAACCTGTAATCCCAGCTATTTGGGAGGCTGAGACAAGAGAATTGCTTATATCTATATATATAGCTATATCTACATCATCTACCTGTCTATCTCTATATCTGGCTATAATTTGCATTTATTAGCACAGAAGTCTTAATCTCCCAGACGCACTCAATAATTAGGACTGCTAGCATGATAGTTTACAAACTCAGTTGTGTTTCTTTTTTAAGCATAGTTACTCTTTATTTAAAAAGAAAACTCATTTGTCTTAATCTTCACCTTCTCAACTCATCAAATATTTTCTTTATCTTGTGATGTTATAAAGTTTCTAAAGAGAGCAAATTATCTGTTTCTAAACTTTGAAAATATTTTGTAAAAATTTAAATGTTTGCAGGATACTCCTATAATTTTTTTTTCAAATCACAGGTACATTATAAGCATTTTATTTAATTAATTTTGTTTTATGGCTTTAGGGATACAAATGCAGTTGTGTTACATGGATAGAAACACAACTGTGCAGTAGTAAAGTCTGGGATTTTAGTATAATCATCATTGGATAGTGTACATTGTACGGAATAGGTGGTATTTCATACCTCACTCCTCTTCCACCTTTCACCTTTTGGGATCCCCAGTATCTATTATTCCACTCTGTATGTCCATGTGTACCCACTGTTTGACTCCTACTTATAAAAGTTAGAACACGTGGTTTTTGACTTTTGTGTCTGGGTCATTTTGCTAAGGATAATGGCTTCAGTTCCATCCATGTTGCTGTAAAAGACAGGATTTTATTCTTTTTTATGGCTGAGTAGTATTCCATGGAATGTTGACGCACAGGTTGATTCCAAGACTTTGCTACTGTGATTAGTGCTGTGATAAACATACGAGTGCAGGTGATTTTTTGATAAAATTATTTCTTTTCCTTTGCATAGATATCCAGTAGTGGGATTGTTGGACTGAAGGGTAGTTCTACTTTTAATTCTCTGAGAAATTGCCATAGTGTTTATCATATAGGTTGTACTAATTTGCATTCGCACCAAGAGTGTATAACCATTCCCTTTTCTCTGCATCCTCACCAACATCAGTTGTTTATTGACTTTTTTAATAGTAGTCATTCTGACTATTGTTAGATGGTATGTCCTGGTTTTAATTTGCATTTCTCTGACAATTAGTGCTGTTGAGCATTTTTTTCATATTTTTGTTGGCTGCTTATCAACAAACATAACTGTTGTCTGTTCACATCCTTTACACAAAACATTTCCCAAGCCCTCTTTGCAGACCATGTTACAAGACAGAAAAAATAAATAAATCAAATTTCAGACCTTTGGACTTATTTCAACACAAACCAGCTATCCTTGATCATATACACATACTGGTTTTCTGGTTAATTATTTTTATTTTTGTGCTTTAAAAAAGTATTAAATTCATAAAACTAGTGTTTCTAAGAGAACAGGTCAATTTTGGTGAACTTTTTGGATTTTCTGTAACACAGAACACTAAACCCTAAATTGACAAGAGCTTACATATCATTTCTATAAATTCAGGATATCTGAAAATGAGAGTTGATTATAGTATATCCTTAATGATGAAGGCAATTTTGCCTAATGATCCATAAATAGGTTGCAGATAATCTATTTGAACTTATCTAAGGTAATTTATCACAACTATTTGAATGCATGTGGCATTCAAATTCTCATTTAAGCAGACTAATTTTTATTTTGACCTGCTAGTTATATTTGAAAGAACAATATTTGCATTTTCTTTAATGCATCCTGAGATATAGGACAATTCCCATTAAAACATTTGTATTAATAAGGTCTTACTATAACTGAACCATTTCTAGTTATTTTGGGGCATTTAAGTTTATATTCTAAATAGATGTATTTTAACGTATTCTTAGAATGATATTACCTTTTTGGGAATTATAAGAAATTCTGCCATAGCCTAAAATTCACTGAGAAGCAAGAATTAACACCACAGGATATTCTCTTAACTCGAACTTTCAGTTTACTTTAAAAAAAGTTTTCTACATAAATAATTGAAAAGATTATTTTGCTTTTCATAAATTGAATAGATGACTAAATGACTTATTTGGCTTCATTTTAGAAAGAACTACATCTTTGAAGTGATTAGCATATAATAATATTGAAAATTAGTTTGATCAGAGGAATTATGTCAGCAAGATGACAGAATGGGAGTTCCATAGCTTCACTCCCCACAACACAGAAACCCAACTTGCAACTACCCACTGGCAGGGTTACTACCTTGAATATCCCAGGATTCATGAATGAATGAGGCTAAGACACCCCCTCAGACCTCAGAAGCAAGAAAAAGCTTTCATCAAATGCTTAGATAATGTGTTCCCCATGACTGCAACCCTGCTTTCCAAAGCTGGCACAGTGCTACATGCAGAAAAATCCCCTAAACCTATGGTTTCTACAGTGGAGAAAGAATCAGAGATAGACACCCAGCTTCCCTATCATTTTGGGATCCTTTGCAGGAAGCTCACTTCTATCACATACTCCTGTAATCATGGGAAGTGACAGCAACCCTAGATCACCTGGGCTCAGTGAGAAACAAAGAATGGGGATAAAGCTCACAGGAACCAGCATGAATCTTGATGGCAGCACTGTTGGTTGAACTGGCAGAACTGCTGGTTGTATTGCTAGGTGTAGGTGGCCACTGAAATGGCTGAAGCATTCACTGCAACAGGCTTACTATTAAGCAACATTCCCAGATAAAATCAGACTACAAAATCTGGCATAAGTACCTATTTCTTCAATGTGCTGACACTGATGTTTGACCACAAGGAACAAGAACATTCAGGAAAACAAGATGTAATTAAACAAGCAAAATAAATGAGACACCCATGAGTACCCTAAAGAGTTAGACAAAAAAATTAAAATATCTTTTTTTAAGGAAGCTCAGCAAAATTCAATAAAATTCAGAGAAACAATTCAGAAATGTATGAAAGAAATTTAACAGAAAGAAAAAAATAAAAAAATAAACTGAAATCTTGTAGCTGAAAATACAATAAATGAAATGAAAAGTGCAATAGACAGCATCAACAGCAGAACTTAATTAAACTGAAGAAAGGATGTGTGAACTTGGAGGTAGGTTATGTAAAAATATAGACAGAAGACAAACAAAAGAATAAAAAGGAACGAAGAAAGCTTATGTGACTTATGGCACAGCATTTAAAAAACACATTTTCGAGTATTAGTTTTAAAGAAGGAGTAGACAAAGACAAAGTAGTAGAAAGAATATTTAAATAACAGCAGAAAACATTCCAAACATGGAGACAGATACACATATCCAGATCCAATCCAAATAAGATTACCCCAAGACATATTATAATCAAACTGTGAAGGATCAAAGAGAAAGAGGGCATCCTAAAAGCAGCTAGAAAAAAGAAGCAAACAATAAATAAGTGAGGTCCAATACATCCAGCAGCAGACTTATCAGCAAAAATCTTACAGGCTATAAGTAAATGAAATGATATATTGAATGTCCTGAAGAAAAAAATAAACCTGGTAACCAAAAATTTATACCCAGGAAAACTATTCTTCAGAAATAAAGGAATAATAAAGATTTTCTCAAACAGCTAAGGGAATTTATCACCACCAGACCTGCCTTACAAAAAAATGCTAAAGGGAGTTCTTTAAGCTGAAAGTAAAGTATGCTAGCAAGAAACACAAAAAAATCTGAAATTGTAAAACTCACTGGTAAAAGGAAGTACAAATTCAGAATAATATTGTTATTGTGATGTGTAAGTTACTTACATCTTTAATATAAAGGTTTAAAGCCAAAATTCTTAAAAATAATATAAATACAATGATTTGTCAATGATAGGCAACATAAAAAGATGTAAATTGAGGTATCAAAAATTCAAGAGGTTGGGGGGATTGGAATAAAAGTGTACAGTTTGATTTTTTCTTCTGTGATCAAAGTTAACTTGTCATTAACCTGTTATAACCATAAGAAGGTTTTTGTAAGCCTCATGGTAGCAAAGCAAAAATTTATAATAAATACACAAAAAGTAAAAAGTTATGAATTAAGACATACTACTAGATGAAAATATTTAACTGCAAAGGAAGACAGTAAGAGAGAAATAAAAGAAGAAAGGATCAATAAAACAAATAGAAAACAATTAATAAAATGCCAGTAGTAAGTCCTTACCTGTCAGCAATTATCTTAAATGTAAATGGATTAAATTCTCTAATCAAAAGACAAGAATGGATGAAAAGACAAGGAAAAAATTAAGTCAAGACTGAACTATGTGCCGCCTACAAGGGACTCACTTCACCTATAAGGACACATAGACTGAGAGTGAAGGGATGGAAAAATATATTTCATGCAAATGGAAGTCAAAGAAGAGCAGGAGTAGCTATCCTTATATCAGATAAAATTAATTTTAAATAAAAAACTCTATAAAGAGGCCAAAAAGGTCATCATATAATAATAAAGTGGTCAATTTAGTATGAGGACGTAATAGTTATAAGTATATATGCACTCAACATTGGAGCACCTAAATATATTAGGCAAATATTAATAGATCTGAAGACAGAGAGAGACTGTGATAAAGTACAGGTTGAATATTCCTTAATCTGAAATGCTTGGGACCAGAAATATTTCAGATTTTAGATTTTTTTTCAGATTTAAAAATATTTGCATTATACTATTTGAGCATCCCAAATATGAAAATTTAAAGTCTTAAATGATCCAATGAGCATTTTCTTAGAGTGTCATGTTGGTGCTCAAAAACTTTCAGATATTGGAGCATTTCAGGTTTCAGATTTTTGAATTTGAGATGTTGAACCTGTAATACTAGCAGATATAACACCACATTTTCACCAGACAGAAAATCAAGGATACATAGGACTTAAACTATACTCTAGTCCAAAAATACTTTACAGACACTTATAGAATATTCTATCCAACAGCCAAAGAATACACATTCTCAACTGTCCATGAAATATTCTCCAGGATAGATCACTTGCTAGGCCATAAAATAAGTCTTAACAAATATAAGAAGATCGAAATCATATGAAGTGTCTTTCCTAATCACAATGGTATAAAACTAGAAATCAATAATAGGAGAACATTGAAAACTTTTTAATTACATGGAAATTAAGCAACATGCTCCTGAGTAGCAAATGCATTAATGAAGATATTAAAAGGAAAATTAAAAAATGTATTTAGCTAAATGAAAGTGGAAACATAATATATTAAAACCTATGGAATACAAGCAAAGCAATATTAAGATGGGAAATCTATAGCAATAAATGTCTTCATCAAAAAGAAGAAAGATCTCAAATAAGCAACCTAATGCTGCACCTCAGGGAATTAGAAAAACAGGAACAAACTATACCCAAAATTAGTAAAGGAAAAAATAAATAAAGATTAGAACAGAAATAAACGAAATAGACATTAAACAATACAAAAGATTAAGAAAACAAAGAGCTGGTTTTCTGAAAAGATACAATCCACAAACCTGTAGATAGACTAAGAAAAAAAGAAATAAGTCTCAAATAAGTAAAATCAGAGATGAAAAAGGAAACATTACAACT
Organism: Homo sapiens; assembly: GCF_000001405.40. NCBI lineage: Eukaryota > Metazoa > Chordata > Mammalia > Primates > Hominidae > Homo > Homo sapiens. The sequence goes on along the minus strand of NC_000005.10, from coordinate 164,381,355 downwards.
GATACATTAGGGAAAAAAAGGATCATATGAGGCTACTATGAAAAATTCTATATGAAAATTTGAATTAGCTAGAAAAATAGATTAATTCCTGGACACATACAACCTACCAAGATTGAACTATGAATAAATAGAAAATCTGAACAAATAATGATAGAAACATTGAATCAGTAATAAAAAGTCTCCCATCAAAGAACGCCAAAAACCTGATGAATTTACTGCTGAATTATACTAAACATTTAAAGAACTAATGCTAAATATTTTTGAACTATTCCAAAAAAATTGAAGAGCAGGGAACACTGTCAAATTCCTCCTATAGGCCCAGCATTACCCTGATACCAAAACCAGACAAAAGCACACAAAACAACAAGAAAACTACAGATCAATATCTCTGATGAACAAAGATGTAAAAATCTTCAACCAAATACTAGCATACCAAATTCAATAGCATATTAAAAATATCATTCACCATAATCACGTGGGATTCATCCCAAGGATGAAAGGATGTCTCAATATATGCAAATCAATAAATATGATAATTTACATCAACAGGATAAAAGACAAAATCACATGATCATTTCAATAGATGAAGAAAAAGCATTTGGCAAACTTCAACACCATTTCAGTAAAAAAGAAAAAAAACCTCTCAACAAGTTAGGTATAGAAATAATGTAGTCCAACAGAGTAAAAACTATATATGACAGACGCACAGCCAACATCATACTGAACATGGAAAAGTTGAAAGCTTTTCTTCTAAGATGTGGGGCAAGACAAGGATGCCTATTTTCACCACTTCTATTGAATCACTGGAAGTTCTACGTAGAGCAGTTGGTCAAAAGAAAGAAATAAATGCATCTACATTGGAAACAAAGGCATTAAATTGTCTCTGTGTGCAAATGACATTCATATATATATATACACACACACAGGTATGTACATATACTAATATATATACACACACATATGTATATATGCCAAACATTCCACCAAAAGAGTCCACCAAAAACTATTATATATATACACACACATATATGTGTATATATGTGTATATATACACACATGTGTATATGTGTATATATACACACATATGTGTATATATACACATATACACATATGTGTGTATATATACACATATACACATATGTGTGTATATATACACATATACACATATGTGTGTATATATACACATATACACATGTGTGTATATATACACATATACACATGTGTGTATATATACACATATACACATGTGTGTATATATACACATATGTGTGTGTGTGTGTGTGTATATATATATATGCCAAACATTCCACCGAGAGTCCACCAAAAACTTAGAATACATAAATTTAGTAAAGTTGCAGGATACAAAGTCAACATAAAAAAATCGGTAGCATTTCTATGCACTAACAAAAAACTATCTCAAAAAGAAATCAAGAAATCCATCTCATTTACAATAGCTACATAAAATAAAATAACTGTGAATAAATTTACTCAAGGAGGTTAAAGGTCTCTACAATAAAAAATATAAAACACTGATGAAAGAAATTGAAGACAAAAATAAATAAAAAGATAATTCTGTATTCATGGATTAGAAGAAATGATATTGTTAAAATATCTCTACTATCCTAAGCAATCTACATATTCAGTGCAATTTCTATCAAAAGACCAATGATATTCTTCACAGAAGTAGAAAAAAAACCTAAAATTTATATACAACCACAAAAGACCAAGAATAGTCAAAGTTATCCTGAGCAAAAAGAGCCAAGTTGGAGGCACCTTACCTGACTTCAAAATATACTACAAAGCTATAGTAACCAAACCAGCATGGTAGTGGCATCGATGGCAATGCATAGACCAATGAAACAGGATAGAGAGCCCAGAAATAAATCCAAGCACTTACAACCAACTGATTTTCGACAAAGATGACAAGAATACAATGTGCAAATGACAATCTCTTCAGAAAAATGGTACTGGAAAAACTGGACATCCACATGCAGAAGAACAAAATTAGAATTTTATGTCTCATCATATATGAGAAAACAACGCAAAATGGATTACAAACTTGAAATTGCCAAAAGAAAACACAGGAGAAATCTTCATAACATTGGTTTGGGCAAGGATTTTCTGGACAGGACCTCAAAAGCACAGGCAACAACAGCAAAAATAGATAAATGTTATTACATAAAGCTAAAAATCTTCTGCATGGCAAAGGAGACAATCGACAAAATGAAGAGACAACTCACAGCATGGGAAAAAATACTTGCAAAGTATACATCTGTAAGAAGTTAATAACCAAAATATGTAAGAAATTCAAACATCTTAATAACAAGAAAAATCCAACCTGATAAAAAGATGGGCAAAAGACCTGAATAGACAGACATTTCTCAAAAGAAGATGTACAAACGGCCAATAGGTGTATCAAAAAAAGTTCAACATCAATAGTCATGAGGGAAATGCAAATCAATATTACAATGACATATCACCTTACTCCAGTTAGAATGGTCATTATCAAAACGACATAGGAGAACAAGAGCTGATGAGACTGTGAAAAAAGGGAACCTTTATACACTGTTGGTGGGAATGTAAATTAGCACAGCCTTTACGTCAAATGGCATGAGGTTTCCCAAAAAATTAAAAATAGCATTACCCTATAATCCAGTAATCCTACCACTTGGCATATATCCAAAGGAAATAAAATCAGTGTGTTGAAGAGATATCTGCACCCTCTTTTTTATAGCAGCACTATTCACAACAGCCAAGACACAGAATCAACCTAAGTGTCTGTCAATGGATGAATGGAAAAAGAAAATGTGGCATAGATACAAAATGGAATACTGTTCAGCCATAAAGAAGAACAGAATCCTGTCATTTGCAATAATCTGTATAAACCTGGAAGATACTATGTTAAGTGAGATAAACCAGACACAGAAAGACAAATACCACATGATCTCACTCATGTGGAATCTGAAAAAGTTGATCTCATAGAAGTAGAGAGTGGAATAGTAGGTACCAGAAGCTGGGGTGGGTAGAGGGTAAGGAGAATGGGGAGATGTTGATCAAAGGATACACAATTACAGTTAGATGGGAGTAATATTTTTAAATGTTCAAAATAGACATGTTCTGAACATTTAAATTCTATAAAAACATATAGAGACATCTAAATTCTCACTATTTTTTAGAGACAGCCAGTAGATAAGGTGGAAAACTTCTCTGGGAACCAAATTCCAGGGAGGGAACAAATATGATCCATTCATAACTGGAATATTCAATTTTCTTACTTTGATAAATATGAAGACTTAATATCAACATTGTGTGCACCATGTAAAAAAGCCCACACCTTAAATAATTCTTCAAGAATATGGCTACTCTGACTCATATTTCCAGTAGTACATTTTAGTTCTATTTGCTCAAATCTGAAGTCACTCTCATACTGGGACTATGTTTATATAGTGTTACTTAGGCAACTAAGCTTGTTTAAGAGGCTTTATTGAGTCCTATTAGCCTTCATTTGGATCAAGTAGAATTAATTTGATTTGGCCTTTTAGAAAAATGAAATTAGGGAATATGACTTAGGTTCAACTCTGTAGTTATGCTAATAAATGAACAGTTATTGGCATGTATTGAGAACTTCATTTCGTGTCAGACACGGATAAATGCTTTGCAAGCATGATTGCGTTCAAGCCTCTCAGAAACCATGAGAATTGGGTATTATCATCTCTTTTATAGATGAGGAAAATATGCTCATTACGGTAAAATCATCATCCTATTGAACCAGATGTTTGAAAAACAGCCACTTGTGATATAAAAAATTTAAACTGTTATTCAAACCATGAATTTGAATAATATAGCAGAGGACTGAAACAAAAGGGAGTTAAATTACTCCTTCCCTCAAAGAGCTTATAATCTATCAAGATAAATGCAATAACACATAGGAATAAATTTGGGAAAAATACAAAATTACTATGTATAAATTAACCACATAAGTATCAGTTAATATAGTGTAAAAACTATCCAAAGTAGGAGTGATAGGTATCACATCATAATGTAAAAATGTATCAGAATGAAAATGCTTCCTCATTTTCATATATATTATATTTTCTTACAAATTTATTTGTAATGACTGCCAGGCTGATCTCTGCTTCTTTTTTTCCTGATCCAATTTTTGCTGGTATAGAAACAGTGTGTATTTATTTTGGTTACTGAATCTGCCTTCTTTGAAGGAATCCAAAAAACATTATTTCTTCAATAACTTATGCTGGCCAAAGAAGCTGTTCTGTCTTAAAACAGGAACTGTTTAAGCTTGCATTATATCAACCAAGCATTGCTCAATATAGTTTAAAATACTTTTTAAAAACTCATAGAGTCTTTCCAACACATATAGCATAATAATATCAAACACAGACAAGGAGTCTTAGTATAATGAGAGTGTGTTGCAAATGAGAAATTATAGATAATTGCTGTTTGTTCTTGTTTTTCATACAATGAAGTGTAATTATTATTAACAAGAGGCTTGTTTCAATGATTATTTCTGGTTATCCCAGGGCACAAATGCATTGAAGCAGAAAACAATGCATTTTCATTCAGAGTTTTTGTTCGTAGATCATCTCTTATCACTGCCAGAGGTTATGTATGAATGCTCAGTCTGAGTTTGTGTAAGTCTGCTACTATGCAACCAAGTGTGTGTATTTGCTGAGTTGGATATCTCATCATTGTCTTCAAGATTCAATGCACTTTCTTAATATTTGAAAAGAAATGATCTAATCACATATAATATTGTAGGACTGTTATTTTACTTAACTGGAAAAAAGATTCAAAACGTAGATATCCAAATAAGATTGAGATTCCAGGTAACAAATTTCTAAGAATTAATATGCAGTTAAGTCTTGTTCACATACGTGTCTGAATTTCATACTCTTAGATATGCAAAGCCTATTTTGGTGATGGCCTTAATAAATATAACTTAGGAAATAATCAGGGTTGATATACCACAAGTATTCAGGTATGGTCATACTGATTGATAAATAGTTGCTACTCTGAACCCCACCTCATCCTTAGATATCCTCTTAATCCAGTAATTAAAGGTGTAGTCAGGAGCCTCCAGGAGCCAGCACTATAGTCTGGGTCCATTCTGATTGGTAGGTACCTATTTCAGTTACCTCAAACTATTGTCTTCAGTGCACAGCTCTTTGTCCCCTCAAAAACCCAAGAAAGCTCACCTAGCTTCAAACGTGATCCTCACTAAGCTGGCAGGCACTGCTCTGGGTTCATCCTGGGACCTGCCATCTCACTGCAACCTTTTGTATTTCAGCCTCCAAGTGTCCTTCCTAACAAGCGGGTATGAAATCCCAAGGAGGGGCTGGTGCCCTTGGCAGTGACCGTGGCAACCTAGTAAGCAAATGCCTATCCATACCAATTGTTAAACATTTTGAATAGTACTCCTGGAAATAATAACAATAAGAATTATTGTTAAGCACATTTAATTCTATCAGGTAAGTATTATTGTCCATCTCTCTTTTCCAGAAAGAAAACTGAAATATAATATATTCAGGTAATTTTTCCAAGGTCATACTAGTAGGGAGTGGTAATACTAGCTAAGACCTAGCAGTCTAACACTGCAGCCCAATCTTTAACACATTCCTGTAAATTTATCCTAAGGGTAAATAGTATATGATAACCATTTATCTTTGATTACTTCTAAGTTTTTTCATAAAAAAACTAATTTATGATGATGACTGTCAAAAAACAGGGCCTCAGCTAATGTGGAAAGAAGGAAATACCTTCCAGGGTGGCACAGATGATCTAAAATTCACTTAGAAGTAAAGATAGAAAGGAGTCTAGACAGACAGATGGAATGTCCCATTCTGGGAGCAGGCAAGAGAAGTGCCTTAGTGAATACAAAGAATTATTTTAGCAAGTGTGGGCAGAGCCTTGACAAAAAAGGAGGGAACATTTGGGTTCAGGTAGCAGCAGATATCTAGTAATGGGACACAATATATAAGGCCATTATTCTAACCACCCCAATAGGCAACCTCAAATAAGTCAACTTTGTTATCAGTAAAGAAATGTCCTTCTCCCAGAGGAAGAGGAGTATGAGTCAGAGTACCTTAGCAAAAACTTGGAAAGGCTCCTAAGTACTCAATATTTTGGATGAGAAACTGAAGTGCTTGTCTTCAGAGACGGAGCTGTTCCACTCAAGACACTATAACATAAGGTGAAAAAAGGGAAGCCTTTGACTCTTTCCAACAACCTTGCAAGCTTTGAGAAACTACAGAAATATCTCATTTGCCTAAGTGTCTGTCCTGTTAATAGAGTTTCAGAAACTCAAATACATAATCCAATGACTTATTAAAAAAGAGTTATTTGTACTTGCAGAACAGAATGTATTTTTGAATTTAAAATATTAAGCTGTCCATCTTATTTCATGGCTTTGCACAAGACAAAAGTAATATGGTAAATAAGCATATATCATATTACCCATGTTTACCATTACAAAGACACCTCCCGAGGGTGCGGATACATGTATGTGTGGGTACTTGCATGCACACACGTGCACACACACACAGACGTGGCACACCATACAGCACCTGGTCGATAACTGAATAGATGAATGAATGAAAGAATGAATGTAGAAATTCATTTGCTAGTTTACAAATGGAGGAGAGTTACTCATGGGCTAATAAACGACCCTGCATATGTATCTATTTGAAAAACAAATGCTATTTTGACATGATATAAAACATTAGAATAAGATTTTTAAGAAATTTCCTTTTTTGGAATTTGATAATTTCAGTCTATAATAAAATATATTGCTTGATAGCACAGGACCATCATACCTCTTTTTGAAACTTGTGAAAATTAGAAGGCATCTATAAAACTGCTAATTTTTTATACATATAGAATCAGAATGATAAATTTATTCATTAATCACATGGTGTATCTGGTTGTAGGTATTGATAAATGGATTTGCTATTCTCTTTGTCAGCTAAACTCTAATGTTTTCAGTGCCTACGTGCTTGAACAGCCTTATATACAAATATGTATTCTGCCTGCTTGTTCCTTATTGTAATCACATCAATTAATTATGCATTATGTTTGTATATTTTAATGACTTATTTATACTCATACTACAAGCATAATTATACTACAAAAAATATATACCACAGCTAGGGTGAAAAAAGCTAGGGGAAAGTCATGTCTAAATAGTTATTCGTGGATAAAATTAGCAAAACAGAAAATTTCAATGAAGATGAGGCTGATGGTTGGGGTTCTGCCAAATGTTTCCAACAGGGATCCTTGACTGTTCCTCTTAAGTCTGTGAAAAGTTGCTCTTAAATGTTCATCGGATCTAAAAATAAATAGAAGTAGATACTCTTGCCAAACACAATCTGATTAGAACCTTCCTCTCCTCTAGTTCATCCTCTCAGAATATTCCAAAACCAATAATCAACAGATGCACAACCATGCTCCTTACCACACACACTAAACACACACACACAGGGTGTACACGCTGCACACTCACAAGTACTCACACTGAATAAGGAACTGATTTGCCCTGGGGGAGAGTAAAAATGATAGTATCATTCCAATGTGTTTAATAAATCATGTGTTTTAGCCACAGAAGAAAAGGTTTGTCTTTTTTACACCAATGTCAGAAGGTGAACACTGAAGAGCCATACGCACTGGGCATTGTTTAAATTGTTTCTTATGTAATATCTCATTTAACACTTACCTTGAACATACAAGCAAGATTCTCTTATGATTTCACAGATGAGGAAAAGAAGGTGTGGGGAGGTTGCTGATGCTGCTCACCCAGAAAATATCAAACTAGATGGCCTAAAGCTGAAGTCTTTTCTCCTGACCATTATGAGATAAAGGTGAAAATGCTCATCTCCTCTGCTATTTTAGTTTGATTGTAGTGAAATAAACAGCAAGCTCTACTATGAATCATTGATTAAATGAGGGGCATGGAGAAGGGCCAGGTTAAGCTATTGAAGGGAATATACAAAAAGTCACTCAGGTGTTTTTTTACAGTCATTAATTATTTTCACCAAAGTTATTCCATTTAATGTAAACATGGGCTCACACAAGCACTGTAAAGCTAGAAAGATTCAAATAAATATATGGAAAATTTAATTATGGTGCAAACTGGAAAGCTTTTTTGTGCTTGTTTCAAAGAAGAACATCACACAGCTTTGAGAATGATGTCATGAAGATGATTAGTTTCCAGTTTGAGCGAGTCTCCTTAGCATCAACCTAAAGATGACTTAGCAGTTGAATTATCTCATGATAAACCTATTAAAAATTCATAATTCCTCAAGTTTTAATTGGGTGTGATTGATCCCCATTAGAGTATTTGTGGGTAGTAAAGTAGCCTAAGTGGTTCTCTCCCTCTGATTAAAAATTGCCCAAGCTTATTGAACTTGATTACACATGACAACATGAAATATTGTTTTTTGAAAACCATTTTGGTAACAACAAATAGACTTTCCGAATAGGAATTTTGAGAGATGACTTTCCTGAGAAGAACTGAGCAGTTTAAATTATTTTCTTAAATGCTCCTTACTTATTTTACTTAGCTTAAAATAATCTACAGTGTTATATTTCTTCAATTTTTTTGCCGTCCACTTACAGTTATGCTTTGCTTAATGATGGGAATATGTTCTGGAAAATGCATTATTAAGCAATTCTGTCATTGGGTGAGCATCATAGAGTATATTTACACAAACCTAGATGGTACCACCAGGACACAGCTGGGCTATATGGAATAGCCTATTGTTCCTAGCTTAAAAACAGGTATAGCATGTTACTCTACTGAATACTGTAGGCAATTGTAACATAACAGTATTTGTGTATCTAAAAATATCTAAACCTTAAAAAGGAGTAAAAATATGGCATAAAAGACAGAAAGTGGTACACTTGAATAGGACGCTTTCCATGAATGGAGCTTGAAGGGCTGGAAGTAGCTCTGGCTGTCAGTAAGTGAGTAGTGACTGAATTTGAAGGCTTAGGATACTGCTGTACATGACTGTGGACTGTATAATCATTCTACACTTAGACTACACTAAATTTATATAAAAATGCTTTTCTGGCCGGGCACTGTGACTCATGCCTGTAATCCCAACACTTTGGGAGGCCGAGGTGTGTGGATCACCTGAGGTCAGGAGTTCAAGACCAGCCTGACCAATATGGTGAAACCCCATCTCTGCTAAAAATGCAAAAATTAGCCGGACATAGCGGCGGGCTCTGGTAGTCCCAGATACTCGGGAAGCTGAGAAGGAGAATCGCTTGAACCTGGGAGGAGGAGGTTGCAGTGAACTGAGCTCACACCACTGCAGTCCAGCCTGGGCGTCAGAGCGAGACTCCATCTCAAAAATAAAAATAAAAATAAAAAATATTTTTCTTTCTTAAATAAAAAATTAGTCTTAGTTTACTACAACTCTTTCACTTTATAAACCTTTTTTAATTTTTTAAAACATTGTACAGCTGTGCAAAAATGTTTTCTCTCTTTATATTCTTGTTTTATATGCTTTTTCTATTTTTAATATTTTTCTATTTTTTATTTCTACATTTTTTTGTTGTTAAAAACTAAGATACAAACGATCATGTTAGCGTAGGTCTACAGAGAGTCAAGATAATATCACTGCCTTCCCCCTTCCATCTTGTCCCACTGGAAGGTCCTTAGGGGCAATAACACACATGGAACAGTCACCTCTTCTTGATATGGGTTGGCTCTTTGTCCCCACCCAAGTCTCATCTCAAATTGTAAACCCCACATCCACATGTCAGGGAGGGACCGGGTGGGAGGTGATTGGATCACGGGGCCGGTTTCCCCTACACTGTTCTCCTGATATTGAGGAAGTTCTCACGAGATCTGATGGTTTAAAAGTGGCAGTTCTCCCCTGCTCTCTCTCTCCTGCTGCCTTGTGAAGGTGCCTGCTTCCCCTTCACTTTCTGCCACGATTATACGTTTCTTGAGGCCTCCCCAGCCATGCGGAACTGTGAGTTGATTAAATCTCTTTTATTTATAAATTACCCAGGTTCAGGTAGTATCTTTATAGCAGTGTGAAAACAGACTAATACACCTATGATAGTGATGACTTCTACTGCAATACATCCTGAATGACCTGCCTGAGGTTAACATTCTTTTTCAAGTAGAAAGAGTACACTCTAAAATAACAATAAAAAGTATAGTAAATACATAAACCCGCAACAGTTACGTATTGTCATTATCAAGTATTGTGTATTGTGCACAATTATAGGTGCTATACATTTATAAGACTGGCAGCAGAGTATGTTTGTTTACACAGGTATCACCACAAACACATGACTAATGCATTGCAGTGCAACATTATTATAGCTATGACTCACTAGGTGATAGAAATTTTTGGCTCCACTAAGATCTTATGGGAACACCATCCTATTTCATCCATCTTGTTACTAATTGACGTGTTATTATGTGGCACATGACGGCACTGTAGAGAAAACTGTATAACAAATCTGCATGTACCCATCATCTGGCTTTAATAGTTATGAGCTCTCAGTCAAACTTGTTTCATTGCATTTCTATTAATTTCTCTTATTACAGATTGCTTTGAAGAAAATTCAAAATATATGATTTTTATCTATCAACATGTCAGCTTATACACATGAAAGACAAGGAGTTATTAAACATACATGACCATGTGCTAATAATTTAATAGTAATTTCATCAAATATTTGGTCAATATTCATTTCCCCTCAATCTTCTCATAAAGGTGTTTTAATACTTTGACTTCAGATCCAAATAAAGTTCATATACACATGAGTTTTTTAATATTTCTAATATGTAGATTACTTTTTATCATTTATTTTGAATTAAACAGAATATTTGTTCCATACGATTTCCCACAGTTTAGATATCACTGGTTTATCCTGTTGATGCTGTTTAGTAGGTAACTCTGCTCTTGTATTTTCTCTATGATGGTAGTTAACTTACTTCTAGAAGGTTGATAAGATTAAGTTTGATTTTGGAGGGGCAAGACTACCTAACAGTTAGTGCTTTTTTCTTCCATGAGAAATTACCTATGTATTTTTATATACGAAAGTGTGGGTTTGTCTATTTTTGAAATGGTAGACATCCTTGATTATCATTGCCCAGATGAAGGATTTCATTTTAGATTACAAAATAGTGATATTCTAGTCCTATCATTTATTTTTATTTATTAGCTGAAATATTTCAGCAAGGAAAAATGTTCATCCATTAATACTGTTTGGTTACCCTGAGGAAAGGTTTACACACCAAATGCCACAAAAATACTTAATTATTTTCCTTCATTTGCTAATTTTCAAAATAGGGAGTTTGTTTCCTATCAGCTTTTAAAAAGGAACTTTTTTTGTTTTTTATATTTAGTGGCATTACTAACATATGACTTTAAACATATTACCATTATTATTCTTACTGATGTTCAAATTATTAATATTTAATAGTGGAAATTATTCTAGTTGATGCCTTAGCCCTTTTGAAGAGAGCCTAAGAGTCTATCAAATATTCCTTGCTTTCTAGTATGACAACGTGTTCCGGGCTGATTTTGATGTTTCCTACTCTAGACTTGAAGCAGCCATTTCTCTAAGGAGTCCTGATTCCTTTTAATAGGAAATGGAATTTAAATTCCACAGTCTTAGTGTTAAGGCATTCAACTGCTTTCAAGCATGCTACAGCTTTACACTAATAAAGGTAGTTTCAGATCCTTCTAATTTTTTGTTACCTTTAATTAAATTGGTGGTAGCATTTAACTGGTTAATTTCCTGTTTTGGCAAACTAACTAATGTTCACATTATTTCTTATGCAATATAAATAAGTGCTTTGTTAAATTTACAAGGAACAAAAGTAATAACTTTTTCTCATTCAAAATTATGTCAAACTAAAATCAACAGTGGATTTTTTATCTTTCTATAGCTTGAAAATTGAGCAAACATCTTGTTTCATTCTATTCAAAAATAGTTTGTCAAGATTTAGAATTAATTCCAATAACTTCATATATTATGCAGGGAGTCATTTTCTAGAACTTTGGCAATTAGAGACCAGAAATTTGTTCCTGGTTTGAAACAATCCCCCTTTGTATCTCTTTCAAATAATACCTTGAAACTATGCAGACCAGAGGTTAAATTAAAAAGGGTGACACACAATAATCATCATAGGACTGACAAAAGTTAACACGGATCAAGATTTTCTATTGCAAATACATTTCTGAGATTTATTTTTTTCTATATTTTCATTTTATTTTCTTTCTCACTGCCCCCATCCCCTGCTTCTTTAACCATACTTCTATGCTATGGCTTAAAAGATAATTCTTATGAGGCTATGTTCTATTCAGTGATTTGAGAGATGATTCAGGCCAGTACCCTACCAATAATTAAAATAAACTCTAGATTTTGTTTTGTGAGATGGGGTCTCACCCTGTCCCCCAGGCTGGAGTACAGTGGCAGCTTCTGAACTCACTGCAACCTCCATCTCCCAGGCTCAAGCAATCCTCCCACCTCAGCCTCCAGAGTAGCTAAGACTACAAGTGCATGCCACCAGGCCTGGCTAATTTTTGTATTATTTTTATAGAGATAGGGGTATCACCATGTTGTCCAGGCTGGTCTCAAACTCCTGAGCTAAAGCCATCCACCTGCCTTGGCCTCCCAAAGTGCTGGGATTACAGGCATGAGCCACCCCACCAGGAGGAACTCTGGATTTTTAAATTTACTGTTTGGAAGCATCAGAGAGCAGCCAAGGCAACCAACCTACAAGGGCCAAGATCTTAGAAAGAAAGGAATTGTATTGCAGGGAGCCTGGCTTTCTCCTCTGCATTTGTGGATTATAAATGCATTATATTGTTGGAGGCAGGGAGGGGTGATGCTGAAGGGCCTAGAAAACAAGTGAAAAACGGTGGCTTAGAGTAATTGGACATTTCATAGACTAGAGAAGACAAAATACAGTAATCTCCCCTTATCCTCAGGTTTTTGTTTGTTTGTTTGTATTTTTTTTTTTTTTGGATGGAGTTTCGCTCTTGTTGCTCAGGCTAGAGTGCAACGGCACCATCTTTGCTCACTGCAACCTCCACCTCCCGGATTCAAGTGATTCTCTTGCCTCAGCCTCCCGAGTAGCTGGGATTACAGGCATGAGTCACCATGGCTGGCTAACTTTGTATTTTTAGTGGAGATGGGGTTTCTCCATGTTGGTCAGGCTGGTCTCAAACTCCTGACCATAGGTGATCCACCCACCTTGGCATCCCAAAGTGCTGGGATTACAGGCGTGAACCACCGTGCCCGGCCTTCAGTTTTGTTTTATTGGGTTTCAGTTACCTGTTGTCAAGCAAGATCCAAAAATATTAAATTGAAAATTTCATAAATAAACAATTCATAAGATTTAAATTTTTCATATTATTCTGAGTAGCTGATGAAATCTCACAACTTCCAGCTCTGTCCTGCCCAGAAAGTGAATCTTCCCTTTGTTCAGCATTATTCACACTGTAGACACTATTTGCCTGTTAGTCACTTAGTAGCTGACTGGGTTATCAGGTTATCATGGCATCACAGTGCTTGAACTCAAGTGACTTTTATTACACCGAATCATGTCCTCAAAATGCAAGAGTAGTGATGCTGTGATTTGGATATGCCAAACAGAAGCTGTACAGTGCTTCCTTTAAATGAAGAGGTGAGAATTCTCAATAAGGAAAGAAAAGATATCATATACTGAGGTTACTAAGATCAACCATAAGTATAAATCTATCTGTGAAATTGTGAAGAAGTAAAAAGAAATTCATGCCAGTTTTGCTGTCACACCTCAAACTGCAGAAGTTAGGGCCACAGTGAGTGATAAGTGCTTAGTTAAAATGGAAAGGCATTAAATTTTGGGGTGAGACATGAACTGAAACATGTTCCAATTGATAGCAATCAGGTTCAATACTTTCCAAGGTTTCAGGCATCCCCTGGAGGTCCTGGAACATACCCCCCATACATAAGGCAGGGACTACTGTAGTGGTATTCTTTACTGATTTTTACCTTCAGATAATTTGCTGATTCCCAGATTGCACCACTGCACTCCAGTCTGGGCGACAGAGCAAGACTCCATCTCCCTCTGCCGCCAATAATAATAATAATAATAATAATAATTTGCAGATTCCTAAGATTTGTGGAGAAAGAAACAAGCCAAACAAAAGGTGGTTGCTCTAAGGCCTGAAGCTAGGCAGTACTGAAGGCCACCCAAGAGTAGAAGCTATGGACAATAGCACTGGCATTTAACAAGAACCCTTCATGGACTATAGTCTAGTATTAAGGGCAAAACAGACATAAACTATACCTCACAGGGAATGAACTTGATCATCCCAAAATATAATTGCATCAAGGTAATCTGCTCCTGCTTTAACAGCCTATCAAAAGGAAAGCAAATCTTTTATGGAAAGATAAAATCCAGAAATTCTATAATTCTACATGCATTCAATGAAAAGTGGCCAGCAGACAGAAACAAATGACAAAAAATCATGATAAAAATAAAAATCAAGTCAGACCCCTCAAGTAACCTAGATATTATCATAATCAGAAACAGGTTTTTAAAATAAGTTATTAGCAAGAACATAAATGACAAAGAATTTTATCAGCAAACTAATATCTATAAAAAGAATCAAATGAAAATTATAGGTAAAAAAATGGGGCATCTGAAGTCATATATTTGATAGAGAGTTTTGCTAGCAGAATTATAAAAAGCAAAAGAGGTGATTAATGATGAAATATAGGTCAATAAATGATATGTAGATTGAAGAGTAGAGAAAACAATTTGAAACATTCAAAAAAGAATAGGAGACATTTGAACGTGGTGAAAGACTCTTAGGCAGTATAATCAGAATCTATAAGTATAGGACCAAGGCAATATTAATAGAAGTATTAGTCAAGAATCTCCCAAACCAAGGAAAGCCTCTTGGTCAATGATGCCAAAGCTCTATAAATGAAAGCAGGATAAATACAAAGAAATCCATACATAACCCCATCATTTAAAAGTTGTGAGAACCAAAGAATACAAAATAAAATCTTAAAAGTAACCAAAGGAAGAGACACATTATCATTAAAACTGCAAACGAGTGACAGCTGCCTTTTCAGCAGTAATGAATATATATCAAGACAAATGAGTGACATATTTAAAGTGCCAAAAAGAAAACTGCCATCATGTGAAAATATCTTTCAAATAATTAAGGTGAAATTAAGATATTCCTAGAAAAGGAAAACCAAAGAGAATTTGTCAACCATAAACCTACATTAAAAGAAAAGCTATGAGGGCCGGGCGCGGTGGCTCACGCCTATGATCCCAGCACTTTGGGAGGCCGAGGCGGGCGGATGACAAGGTCAGGAGATCAAGACCATCCTGGCTAACACAGTGAAACCCCGTCTCTACTAAAAAATACAAAAGATTAGCCAGGCATGGTGGTGGGCTCCTATAGTCCCAGCTACACGGGAGGCTGAGGCAGGAGAATGGCGTGAATCCGGGAAGCGGAGCTTGCAGTGAGCCGAGATTGCGCCATGGCACTCCAGCCTGGGAAACACTGCCAGACTCCATCTCAAAAAAAAAAAAAAAAAAAGAAAAAAAAAAAAAAGCTATGAACAATTCTTTAAGCAAAAGAGAAATATCTCCGATGTAAGGAAACAAATGATAGAATTAGTAAAAAACAAAAAAGGACAGAGTAAACATAAACATAAATCTAAATGAATACTGATTACATAAAACAATAATACTACCATCTTGCTACCTTTAAGATATGCAAATTAAAATACATATAAACGAGAGCCAGAAACATGAGGATGGGGAAAAGGAAATAAATGGTTAGGGATATGAACACATCTAGAGCACATCTATTCCAGCAAAACAGGTTAACAGCCACAACAAAAGACTTGGAAGATCCTTTAGAATCTTCAACATGGAAGATTTAAACAACACAATTAACACCTCGGGTCTAGTGTACAAATATGGAACACTGTAACTAATAATTGCACAATTCATTTTTAACCCAAAAGTATATAGATATCTACCATAAGTGACTGTCTTCTGTTTCATAAAGTCTCAAAACATTTTACAGGCCAGAGTCATATTTGATATAGTATCCTAACATAGCAGAATTAAGCTGGATATCAATAACAAGATAATGAGAACATTCTTACGTATTTGTAAATGAAAAAAGACACTTAAAATAGTTTATGAGTCAAATGAGAAAGGGCAATGAAAATAATTCAGAAGTGTTTTAAATGTATAGTTCTCAGGAGACTGAAATATAAAAGTGCTTAAGGGAATGTCACAGATGTGTCTCGGTAATGGTGTCTATAGGACATACCAACGAGCAATAAATAATTTTTATTCTAAACAGTCACATTGGTGTCATGTAGACAGAAGAGTCAATTGATGCATTATTTTGCATTTCAGCTGCTTCATTTAGCATTGTATAAATTCAGTTTGGGTTAGATTTAATAGAAGCAAGTATTCAGATGGAAGGTGATCTCAATGTCCTAGAGCTACAAACTCTTTGAATCCTATTGAAAAGAAAGCCATTGCTTTAGTCAAATGATTTCATTTACATGCCTTGAAAGACATATTGCTCATGTAATGCTTAACATGAACCAAAAGTGAAGACAATTAGTACGGTTGGCGGATGCTACTTTAAGGGAAAAATGTTTTCTTTACACAGCAGATGTGGGAACATAAGGCCAGCAGTGGGTATCAATGCTAAACTGTCACTGAATTGCACAAAAACAACAGGATGTAACAAAATAACTAGTGTTTTCAAACTTGCTATACTAAGAATTAGTCTTTTGCCAGTCTCCTCAAAAAAAAAAAAAAAACAAAAACCACGATGTTCATCTATACTAATTTGCTTTAACACACATTTCTGTTAAATGGTAAGTTTCAGTATCAAGCAGGAAATCTAATGTTTGTGCGACCAAAAACATGTGGCAAGACTGTAATGTCAGTTATTTTTCATTTTCTTTTTCTTTTTAGGGCAGAGTGAATCCATTATTTTTAAATTCCTACATCTTCAGTGACACTAAGCTACTGTATCATGTCACTTCTCTAACCTGAGAGCACTGCTTTGCATTTATATCACTCATTCACATAAGAAAAGGTGATTCTTTTTATAAAACAACTAATTAACATGTATAGAGTAGTGGGATAACACACTTAGAATCCCAAATACAAACTCGTCTATAACTTACAAATTATCCAACAAGGTAAACATAAAATTTTCAAATATTTTTTTAGCTCTTTTCAAGTCACATGAGAGTAGCAACTTATATAGAATAAAAGAATAAAAAAAAACTTATTATCAGTTGTAGTATCAAGATGGGGTGCTGAAAACTCCTGATAATCAAAACCATCCTTGAAAAATTCCTGAAGTCTCCTATAAAATGTGCATGGGATTGCATATATAACCGTCTACAGTAATTTTAAGCACTCTAATATTTGAGAGTCACAAAATAAACTAAAGGAAAAAAACAAAGGGAGACCTATGGGAAGACAGGTCAGCATTTATTTCTTTATACCTTAAAAATCAAAACAAAACAAAAAAACAAGCAAGAAACAAACAAACAAAAAACACCCCAAACCCAAAATAAACCCCACACACATACATAGAAATCCAGGCCATTTAGAAAAAAGCATTTAGACATTAAATGTATTGAGATTTACATTTAATGTCTAAATGCTTTTTTATAAACAAAAAATTAACTTTCAATTGCTAGCATAAATATTTGTATTTCCCTTTCTTTTTTTATGAATATGATTTCAATGGTTTAGCAAAGGCATCACGATTATGATGTGAGTTTTGGCCTTGATATGATTTATTATTATAAATATCCCTGCCGGCTTTCAGAATCTCTTGTAATCCCTTCTTCACATTCTGGTCAAACAAAATTTTCCCTATGGTATCATTTTGAGTTTTCCTACCCCAAAACCTTTTCTGCCTTCTTGTATTTTGCTTACTAAATTAGATCAAAAGTCTTTCCTTCATCTTTTGACATCTCTGGAGTTTCCAGTCATCTTCCTTCAATTATCTATCTGTGCTCTACACATTTACCATTCATTCTTTTCTATGCCTTGATTTTTCTGATTCAGTGCACAGGCTTTGTTCTTTTCATGATCTGCAATATTTTTCTCCCAATCTCTGTTATTATAATCATCAAAATTTCATCTAAAGTACCTTCTTCATGACAACTTACTCAAAAACATTTCTATATCTTCAAATTTTTTTATGGTCCTGAAGAAGAAGAGGAGGAGGGGGAGGAGGGGGAGGAGGAGGAGCAGGAGGAAGAGGAGGGGAAGGAAGAAAAAAAGAAAGAAAGAAAACTATCATATTATTCTTAGGTATACTAATTACATAGGCATATAGATACTACTTATCTCCCAAGTTTTTCTTTTTCCTCTACACAGTCTTCATTTCTTCACCACCCCTCTCATTTATTGGGACCTCCCTATGTGCCACATATCTTACTAGGCATTTCATACATTTTTTTCTAAAGTTCTCAGCAATCTTGTGCCATATTATTAGTGTCATTTGACAGATGTATAAACCAAGGTTCAAAGTAAGTGACAGATGAAAATCAGACTAACATGATTCTGACACAATGACATGAACGGCCCTTTATGGTACTTCTACTATAGTTTGTTTCACTAAATAAACTAATGGTTTGGCCCTGTTGTATGACAACTCAATGAAATATTTATTATCACAGGCAAATAAATTATTACTTGGTTTGCTTAGAGTATCTTATATGATTGTTTTCTTCATGTGATAATGGCTACATTTTACTGTGTAAAATTTACCCAGTAAATTTTACATTTACCTTTCTGAAAATAGCTTTATGTTTTCTAAGAGTCGACTCGGTGATTTATGTGGAGCCCACTGCTATGTAAAGACTGTTCATTTTAGAGATTAATGCTTTCCGGTCTCTCACCAGCTGGGAATGCCAGGTGAAAAAAGGAACGGACATCACAAAAGGATGGCACACAACCAAATTTAAAACCTTCCCTTTTTTTCCGGTCCATTTCTCAATCCTTAAATCCTTTGCCCTAAGCCACATTCCACAGAGGATCCGAAGTTGTGTGCTACCATACTTTAATTGGTAGCACCATTTCCATAATCACTCTACCATGCCAAAGCATTGGCCTCTGCTTAGCTGTAATCCCTTGTTTCCAGCAGTTCAAGAATTGCCAGTAGATGCGACTACACACAAAGGAAGTTGCTTTGCCAGCAGCACTTGCAGCTGTGGCATATTGGAAACTCACCATTTAACTGCAGGGCTCATAGTTCAGTCTGTATGGGACATAGCAAGAGCTAGTTGTTTATGTAATCATCGCTTTGAACTTCTATGTAATATTGTTTTTATCAAAACGTTTCCCGACTTTAATGAAAATTTGAACTCATAATTAATTGGATCGGGGTCTCAAGTCTCTTACAATAAAATCATCTGTGATTTCAGACACTGAAATTTCAGACCTGTCCCTAATCTATCATGACTGAGATTTCCCCTAGACCCCAAAGAGATTTTCTGGAAATTTCAGTGGAAGTGCCCTAAAAATATATGAATTTATCAAAATTGATTTTATTTCTTTGTTGTGTTTGCATTTATTTTTCCTTTTGGGGGGTATATTTTCATAAAGGTGTTATTATAATTACAAATTTATTTTGAAAAACTTAATTTTTAAAATGAGAAAAGCTAGATACAGCTAAAAATACCAGTGGCTAATATTGAAAATATAAGAAAACATTAACATATGAGTTCAAATGTATTCTCTATTAATTCATTTTTGCCTGTATAAATATTACAAAAAACATATATTGGAATGTAAGGTTTCAAATTGTTTCATTAGTTTAAAAAAGGAAGGAAAAAGCTGTGAGAATATTTAGGAAACAATGCTCAAAAGGTCCTGTCAAAATTCACTAATAAGTTTTCCTTTTTCGAAGCTTCAACTTCTCTGACAACTTCTCTCTTTCTCCTGTTTTTTCTTCCTCATCACTCCAATTTTTCTGCATGTTACTGATTTTTTTTTCTTAGAATTATACTATCAGCCCCCTTTTCTTCCAGCCCCACTTTATTCCATCTTTCCTATGGCTCCAATTAATTGTATATATTTCCAGATCTTTATCTGTAGCCATTATTATTTTCTTGAGCTACAGTCCTTGTATTAATATAGAAATATTACACCAGTTTCCTCTAGAGACCAAAGTCCCCCCTCCTCAAATGAAATCCTTTCAAGTGAGACTTGTTTCTTTTGTTTAACATACTGCACCCCAAAATAGCTGAAGTCTGGCTAATACAACATTGTTTATAGTACAGGTAACACTACATTTAAAATGTGAGAATATGAATTTTTTGCTATAGATTATAAACCGACGAGTTTGCTATTTGTGCCTGGGAAGATAGACCACTCTAAGAGATAAGACTGGATCCAGAGGCTTCCTGAAAGACAGGATCCAGTGGTTTTCTATTCAGGGAAGTTGGCTGCAGTAGGAGATACTGTCACCCTAATGCAACAGTTGTGCTCATTGTGACTCACAGAAAGTCCATTACTCTCCTGACCGGAAGAAAGAAGGACTCAAAAGCATCTGGCCACACTTCCACCTTCCACTGCCATTGTATTACGTTCTACTATTGGTTTCAGCCATTCAGTTTGGCATATGAATAACTGGAATCCTTTCTTCTCTATGAAAGAAAGGCAGGGGCATTACAGCTTGTTTATGTTTGACTCATATGTAAAGAGCATATAAAAGCCCACTGATGGAAGGGGAAAAAAAAGAACTTACTTCCACTTCTATTTCTAAAACTAGAAATTTAGTCCTTAATGAAACCAATATTATCCCCCAATGCCACCTACATCCTGTAGATGTCCATCTGGTGGTCCTGCAAGCTCTGAACCTCTGCTCTTTCAAACCTATGCTTGTCTTACAACTACAAGCTTGTTCCTCTGCTGCTCCTTGTTGCTGGCATCACATTCATTTCATTCCACTCATAAACTTTGAAGATAGCTTTGACTCCTTTCCCTCTGCCCTTGTATATCTGATCAGTTACCAATTTGGTGGATATCTTAAACCCATTTCCAATGACTGCCTAAGTCCAGGTATTCATCGTCTCTCACTATCCTAAATGGTCTACTCTTAGCGTTTCTCTGCATCTTCCCAGTGGTTCTCCAAACACAGTGCCACAACCAGCAGTATCGGAAATAGACAGAAACTTATCAGAAACTTAGTGGGCTACATACCAGACTAAATGAATCAGAAACTCTGGGGAACAGAGACCAGCCTTTTTTGTTTTAACAAGCCTCTAAATAATTCTGGTGTACACTGAAGTTTGAGAACCACTGGAATAGAGTTGATTTTTTTAAAACACAGATCATATATTATAAATTGCTTGGTCAAAATATTCAGTGACATGCACAGACTCCTGATCTGACCAGACAACAGCATTTCACCATCATCTTTTTCTCATTCTGTAGACCCTGAATTTTAGCCACACAAATTTCCTTATGGCCATTTTACATGAAACCTCAGATTTAGGGAGATTAAGCAACTTGACCAAGAATAAAGAGTCAGCAAATAACAGAGACATCTTATCCTCTTTTCACCAAGCAGTAGTAGTCAATTATTTGCTGGTTGGTTTGCTGATTTGTTCGTTTGTTTGTTTGTTTTGCACAGAGTGTAGATGAATGGATGGAGGAGTGAACATAATAATTACTGGTCTAATCACCAAAATTCTAAAGAAATAATGGGTGTATCTTCATCTGTTTTCTGTTGCTATAACTGAACACTACAGACTAGGTAATTTATAAAGAATAAAAGTTTATTTTGCTCACAGTTTGGGAAGCTGGGAAGTCCAAGAGCATGGTGCTGGCATCTGGTGAGGACAGAGCAGAAGGCACAATATAGCAAGAAGGTAAGAGCTTGTGTGATAGCTCAAGCCTCTTCCTCTTCTTAAAGCCACTAGTCCCATCAAGGGGACCCCAGTTTGATGACCTTGTATAATCCTGATTACCTTCCAAAGTCCTCAGCTCCAAACATCATCAACATATACATTTGGGGATTCAGTTTTCAATGTGTGAAATTTGGGTGACATATTCAAACCACAGCATTCCACTCTGGTCCTCCAAATTTATGTCCTTCTCACACGCAAAATACTTTCATTCTATCTCAATAGCCTCACAGTCTGAACTAATTTTAGCACCAACTCAAAAGTTTAAAGTCCAGAGTCTCATCTAAACAGATATGAGTGAGACTCAGGGCATGACTCAGCCCACGGCAAGTTCCCTCCAGCTGTGAGTCTGTGAAGTCAAAATAAGTTATCTACTGCTAAAATACAATGCTGGGACTGGCATAGGACAGACACTTCCATTCCAAAAGAAAGGAGTAGGCAAGGAGGGAGGAGTAGCAAGTAACAGGCCTCAAGTAAGTCCAAAACCCAATGGGGAATATCACATTTAGTCTTAAAGCTGGAGAATAATTTTTGACTCCATGTGCTGTCTCCTGGACACATTGGGGTGAAAGTTAGATTCCCAGGGCCTCAGCAGCCCTGCCCCTATGGCAGTACAGAGATCAGTCCATGTGGCAGTTCTCACAGGTGGGAGTCTTGTGCGTGCACTTCTCTCAGGTTAGTGTGGCACTCTGGTAGCTCTACAGTTCTGGAGTCGTGTGGGTGGCCTTGCCTCTGTGGCTCCACTATGCATTGTCATAGTGGGGGCTGTTTGGGTGGCTTCATCTTTGACCCCATATTTCTAACCTGCATTGCCCTAGTAGTTCTGTGCAGTGGATCCACCCCTGTGACAGATCTCTGTCTGAGAGCCCAGGCTGTTTGTGATATGCTTTGAAATCTAGGTGGAGGAAACCATATCCCCACAGCTCCTGCATACTGTGTGGCTGCAGAATTGGCACTACATAGATGCTGCTAAAGTTTACAGCTTTTACCTTATGAAGTGGTAGGTTAAGCCACACCTGGGGCCTATCGAGGTCGGGAATCTGGGGGGCACCGAAGCAGAACACAGGGAGCAGAGTCCTCAGGTGGCTCTGGGCAATAAGCCTATGAATGCTTGCTTGTCAGTTCAGGCCTTTCTTCTCAAAGCCAGCAGTCCAATTATGGGGGCCCCACCCTGATAACCTTATCTAATTCTAGTTACCTCCGAAAGGCTCTACCTCCAAACATCATCAACATATGTATGCATTTGGGGATTAAGTCTGCAGCACACAAAATCTGGGGGACATATTCAAACAATAGCAGTATGAGTATGTTACTAAAGTTTTCTAAAATATTTAAAATAAATAAGATGATACATAGACCAAACGACAGTAACTTAATTAAATACAAGCTGGTATATACACAAGGTGTTTATCAATACCAGTATGCAGGGAAATCTCTAGCGATCTGACTCTGACCCCCTTTTCCAGCCCTGTGCTGTTGCATATTCTCATGAAGGATTTGGATAGGAGTATCGTCAGTAAATTGAACATATGCATAGATGATAAAAAGTTACAAGAGATATCCAATATGCAGAGCGAAAGAATTAACTTTGAAAAATCCCAACAAGACTGAAAAACCAAACCCCCCAAAACCCAGTGATTCCAATAATAAAGAACTTAATGGAAATGTATGTAGTCTGAAAAAAACACACATGTAGAAGGTTAAGATGGTGAAGAGCAGGCTTTGGGATCAGGCAGATTTAGATTTGCGCTCTATATTCTACTTACCTTCTTACATGAGTGATCTCTGGCATTTTACCTAATTTTCCTGAGCTCAACTTCCTCTTTTGTATAATAGGAAAATTGCTGTAACTACTTCTTAGAATTAGTGCTGTAACTACTTCTTAGAATAATGAATATGAAATTCTTAGCATAGATGGTAGAATATAGTTAAATATTAAATAAGTATTATTTATTATTTATTTTTATATGTCACACCAACTTTGCTAAATGGGGGGAACAAATACATCACATAAACTTCATAAAACAATCTATACATCTGAGAACCACATTATAAATGAAATATTAACAAACTGAATCTTATCCAGAGGTACTGAAAAAAAAAAAATAATTGGAAGATTTTTAAAAAGTCATAAGGAGGTGTTTAAGCAGGAAAAGAAACTCTTGAAGAATATGACTGAGTACTTCAAAATTCTAAGCCTTGCTTTATAAAGAAAGAGACCACAATGTACAATCTGTAATTACAAATAGAAGTTATGTGGAAATAGATTTCTGCTCAAAACAAGAAAGAACGTACAGACAGTCCAGTCCCCAACTTAGGATGGCTTGACTTAGGACTTTTCAACTTCATGATGATGCGAAAGTGAAACCGTACTTCAAATTTTGAATTCTGATCTTTTTCCCAAGCTAGTAATATGTGGTACAATACTCTCTTGCAATGCTGGGGAGTGGCAGTAAGCCACAGCTGTCAGTCAGCCCTGTGATCAGGAGGGTAAGCAGCTAGTATTCTATAGTGTATTCTGTTGCCGGCATTTTTTGGATATTTTGTGTTGTGTTTTCACATCCCATCATGTCTACTAAATGCCCAATTTTGACTTAGGATATTTTCAACTTACAATAGGTTTATCAGGACGTAGCTCTGTTGTAAGTTGAGAAGCTTCTATATTAACCGGTAGGTCTGCCTAGGAGAATTTCAGAGGTGGTTTAAGTTTTGTATAGGAGGAGTAATGTTCAAATAGAGGTGGGAGGTCACTTGCTGGGGTTATTAGAGAGATGATGGAAACAACAGATCAGCAGTTGAAAGAGAGGAAACCCTGTAACTGAAGGGTTCGACTTCAGTGGCTAATTTAACTGTGATCTGCATTATTCATTCCTGTATCTTAGTTGTGTCAAAGGAATGAAAACATTACCTCTTGTCCCCTTCATTACTAAATTTGAGTAAATTGTTAAAATATTATACAAATCCTCTACACTAATGTCAAACTTATTGTTCTTCATAATTCTCCACTAACAATACAGAGAGAGATCTATTTAATTGGAGAGATCTAATCTATTTTGGTTATGAATGGGTCTGTCTCTTTTTGGACTTCATAGCAAGAAGAGGGTAACATAATTTTTAAATAGAGAGGGATTTTATATATCATTGTCCATACCAGAATACTTTTGAGATGGACTTAGGCAATAATCAGACAGGCTACAGGACAGCAGGTATAAACTACAACATTCTGAGCAGACTGGAATAAAGGATCACTCTAAATATAACGGACGAAAATCATGAATGTTCAGTTTTTAAAATCTAGGTATTGAGAATGCTTTGTGGGAAAGAGTGTTGAGAGACAGAACCACACGGAAAACAAACCTCACCAATAACTGGCCATAATAGACACTGAACTTTCAGGTGGGATCTGTTTGTCCCTAAATACATCAGCGTCATTTTCGGTCATTTTCTTTTGTTTATTGACTATTGGTCACATTTCAATGCCACAACAAAAGATAACCCTTTAAGCAATTAATAAGGTTTAATGTAAATAGAAATATGCTGAAGTGTCAAGTAAGAATAAAATATGAAATTTTTTTATTTATTCATTTTTCCACATTTCTATTTTTTTCTTATTCCTTTTGAAAGAAGTAACTTAATTGACTTTACAGTTTATTTCTTTCTCTAGCACATAAAAAAAACTTTCAGGAAGGAGAAACTTCCTTCCTTTATAATACATTTCCAATGACTTTGTGAATTACACACCTTTCTATAACACAGTTTTGGGATGACTGAAGCTTTGGAGAAGCTTCATTATCTAAACACATTTGGACTGATGGGAGGCTAGATATATAATTTGCTCAGATGATGGATTGCCAATGCTGAATAATGTGGAAAATTTCAATACAGTAAATCATTCTGAATGTGCAAAACTGGGCAGAGAGCCAGGGGGATACAACAGATTAATGGGTTTTTCTGTCACTGCTGAAGATATGGGTTCTAATCTTGATGCCCGGAGGCGGGAAATTTGAGCTAACGATGGACTTTTTAGACATTGAGAAGCAGATCTCAAAAGAATTCAGAGAAGATATGAGCTTTAATAAAAGAAGAGTAGGCTGTTTGAAAACTTACATTTGAGGGGAAAAAAGATATGAGGAAAAAAAGTAGTAAATATTATGATATCCCTTTATCCAGCCAACATGCAAATTACTAATCTTAGTCCAATTAAAAACATGACAATAATAGAAGAGGCTTTCATATAGTTATGAATTTTTGAGTCATCCTATACTAAGAATGAATTGGGGAACCAAAGTCAAACAGTTAAAAAGGCAATTGGGCAATTCTTCTAATCACAGGTTTTATTTGGTTTTCTAGTATTAAGTCCATAAGTTATCTGTGTTTAAAATCAGAAATAGCTTAAGACATATTTTCTATGCAATTTGAGGATCTTTTACGGTTTAACAGAAGAAAACATTTTCTGTGATTTATCAATAAAAATTTATTATGTTGGGAAATCTAGTGAAATTGCCTATATTTAACCATTTTTTTTTACTTTCAAATATGGCAATTTTATATGGTTAAATCTAATGGATTTGTTCACATAAGGACAAGAGAAAACTCATATCGAGCATTGTGTTATTCACATTAAACGTATTTTCTCATTTCATTTTCACTGCAATACAGTATGGAAATTTGGAAAAAGAACATTCAAATAACTTTCTCAAGTCACATCGGTAAAGAGAGGCATAAGTAATATCAAAGGTCTTTTTGACCCATTAAGTAAGGCCTCCATGTATGATTATGAAGGTTGTTCACTGTGCAAGGGTGATAGCCAAGAAGGGAAGTGAGGGTTTAAATTTAGCCTGTGTTCTACCCAACTAGCGGGGAGCCCTGGGGTCATTGTATTTTCCAAAAAAGAGTGAATGAATATATAACCTGTCCCACGTGCATTTCTTACAGTGTTATATTGACAGTCCTTCACTGAAAGGTGGAGTCTGTTTTTTCTCCCCTTCGAGCTGGGTAGAACTTTACAACTGCCTTCAGCAATAAAATGAAGCAGAAGTGACACTGTATGACATCTGAAGTTACGCAATCAAAGGAAGTATAACTTTACCCTAGTGTCTTCCCTCTGAACAAGTGAATTGGGGGCCCTGAGCCAATTTGTTCTTTATCATTAAATTCATTTTACTTACCAAGGTAGATTGCGATTTACTTGTTATATTTCATATTTTATTTTCAGGCGGGAAGAGGTAAAGGTGTTGATGGTGGAAATCAATCTGGAACATGATAAAAAATGATCTTTCTGAGAGATGTTAACATGTGAAAAAAATCCAATTGAAACTCGATGTAATACGAAGTGTTTCTCAGAAAAATAAAATCAAACTGAAGCTGTGGTTTAGTAACTAAAGTTCTTTTTGTCACTAGAAATGACCTATGTTTGTATAAAATATTGATATAACAGTAATACCACTTTCTTAAGTGATAACATTGATAAAAGACATGATGAACTCAAAAATGTGTCTCTGGCAAACACAGTCAATATTCCCCAAAGGGCTCTACATAAATTAAACATGTAGGAAAGCATATCACAAGGTAAAATGTGTAGGGATTTCATCAGTCATCCACTTCTTTGACTTATTTTAAGCCCTAGGTACAGTGACCAATGAATATTTTCATGGCTGTTATAGATCCATGAGAGTGTTTAAGATCCAAAGTTATATTCCGTTTCAGAAAAATAGACTCAATCCCTATTCCTTTATCAAGTTAGGCTATATACTTTTATAATGTATCATATCATTGCGATAGAACAGCAGCTACTCTTTATTTAAAGAAAGATCTGTACATTTTCCATTTATTTTACTCTTTTAAACTTAAAATTATTTAAACATACTTTCTCCTCTCTTTTATTGGCCAACATTAAACCACATTGCTAATCTAATTTTCACTTGAGATGATACAGAGCTCTCCAAACCCATTCTCTGTTTAGATGACATGCAAATCAGATTAATGTGCTTGTGTTACAGACTTAGAGATAAGATTGTTGCTTCTGGGGCTTTAGCAGTAAAAATGCCTCTAACGTTTACTATTTTCTTTTTCCTGCCTTGGCAGTATATCTCTGCAGGAATGTCTTTTGGCAGATTAGTTTTCTAAGGCAAAGATCTACTCAGGGAGGGAGGAAAATACAGCAAAATCATTTTAGGAAATCAGAGAAAATATTTGAAGGTAAGGCTTTAATTATAACATAAGGGACTTAGAATAAACACTCAGGCATACTTGAAGGGATCTACAAGAAATTTTAAGTCTTTTTGTTTTAAATCTTTCAGTAGATGTATCTGTCTATAACATTTGAAACATACTTTTTATTTAAAGCAAGAGTGTGCACAAAATGACTTTTCTGGGTGTGAGTCCAATCGTTGAGTGTTTCCAACCCTGTTTTTTGTCTTTTTTTTTTTTTCTTTTGCCAGCCGAGGCACCAAAGATGATATTTTCTCATAATTACAGCCCAGTTCAAATATGTGTGCTCAGACAAGAAAAAGGCAAGCCACACTTTCAGGCATGTGAACTCCCAGGCCAGTTAGCTAATGGCTTAACTTTAGTGTGTGAATAAATTAGGGGGATGGAAATCTTCCTCTCCCCTGTGGGTCTCAGTTCCTAAGTGAAGCTTCCTGGGTATGATGGCTTTTTAAAGGCTTAAAAAAAATTAGATGTAAGCCAACTACTCCAGCTAGGTGGTCTAATTTTTTGTTTGCTTGTTTGTTTTTGAGATGGAGGCTGGAGTGCAATGGCACAATCTTGGCTCACTGAAACCTCCGCCTCCCAGGTTCAAGCGATTCTCCCACCTCAGCCTCTGGAGTAGCTGGTATTACAGACACCCATCATCCTGCCCAGCTAATTTTTTTTTTTTTTTTCTTTGAGACAGGGTAGCTGGGATTACAGGCACCTATCATTCATTCTGCCCAGCTAATATATATTTTTTTTTTCTGAGACATGTTGGCTAGGCTGGTCTTAAACTCCTGACCTCAGGTGATCTGCCAACCTCGGCCTCTCAAAGTGCTGGGATTACAGGCATGAGCCACCGCCCATGGCCTTTGTCTAATATTTAACCAGAGGAATAGTCCCCCAACCAAAAGCAGGAGAGAAAACTGGCTTTGGACTTGCTAGCAGGTAGTATCTGTCCTCAATGATGTACCAACATAAAGCATTTTTCATAAGTGGTTTTGGATGCCCTTTCATGGAATTCACACCCTCAGATTGAGTTGAGATTAAAATTTAAAGAACAAGTAAGCAAAATAGACGTAAGAATCCATAGCAGTTCTTAAGAAGCAATGTGGTGTGTACTGGGTTAGACACTTTGTATTCATCTTCTTTTTGTCACTAATCCTGGAGGTTATAGATTATTATTTACATATCAGAGATGAGGAAACTGAGAATCAGAGAAGTTGAAAAAGTCTTCATTGATAAACTGGAATTATATCTATGATATGATTCCAAGGACCTCACATTTTTAGCCATGAGAGACTATTATAATACGTTCATTATAACTACTGAAATCACTACCTTCTGGATATTGTTTATGTTGGTTTATTTTACTTGCTTCACTGAGCAGATTACATAGTTTAATACAATTGTTATGATAGATTTGTTTTGATTCATCACAATGGACTGAAAGAATGGACATCTGTTTGCTACTCTATTTTATAATTGCTTTTAAAATAGGACTTTGACATTAAATAAAATGATCACCCAAGCTTCTCAATCTCTTTGTAAGGACAGAAAAATGATTCTGAAGATTAAACATGAGAGTTTATATCTGAGGTCAGTTTTTACATTAAAGCCAGAAATAAAACAGATTATTTCTCTAGTTACTTAATATGTCTATTTATGTTGGCATAGTCACGTTTGATACTTTTCATAGTTCTTAGTTCTTCCCTACTGAAATCCTCAATGAATACAGTGATGCCAGTTACATTCCTTGCAGCAGACCGTACAGGGCCTAATCTGTACTTAAGACCATTTGTTCAAATGACAGCTAAACATATTTCAAGCTCCTGAGACTCAATTCATTAATGCCATAGCTTGGTGCAACCTTTAGTCAGGGTCATATAATTCTCTGTGGTCCCTTAGCTTTAGGTATAATAGAAAGCTAGTTTGTCTAGTAAGAAAATGCCCTTAATCTAGCGGGATATAAATCTGATGGTGCGCTGCTATCTCAAGAATGGGCCTCTTTCACCTTTCACTCAGGACTCCCGTGGCATTAACCTAAAGCTCTCTCAGTCTCACCAAACCCTGCTCTTCCACCCCTGTAGGTTAAATGTCATCTGCTCTCCAGGGTTACTTTACTCGTTCCTTAAATAAGAAAAAAAGTTTTATCATATTACTATTTTACTTGATTATTTCATTTTCACCTTCCAGTCTCTCAAATGGACGAACTTTCTTAGCTCTATTGATTTCTGCTTCTATTGATTTCTGTATGGCAAGTATTTATTGCCTATTTACCCCTTAACCTGCTGCACTTTGCCTTCCTTTGTAGTTGGCAGAAACGGCCCTTTTGAAAGTCACCAGAGACTTGCTAATGACTCAATCCAGCAATTTTTCTCAGGTCCCCTACCCCACATGTTTTTTTAACTTCTCTCAGCCATCATAATAGTATGGCTAACATTTATTGAACTTTCACTACAAGGCACTTGTAAACTCTTCTTACTGAAGCTTCATAGAATACTATGAGTTAGTTATGCTGTTTAACACCCATTTGCAAATGAGAAATGAAGTCTCACGCAGATAAAATAAGTCATGCAACTGCATTTGAAATACAAATGCAGCCTCTTTAGCCTATACTCTCCACCTGGCAGTCCCTTATTTTGCTGTGCATTAATATTAACTTGGCAGCATTCATGACAGGCATCCTCTGCACTGCACTGAAAAAATTTTCCTACGGATAACTTATTTTCCCAACTAGATAATCATTTCCTAGATAACAATATTTTTAATTCCCCAAAATATGTGGTTCTGTGGTTTTCCTACATAGTTACTATTATATTTATTATATTCATAAAGCTGAAAGAAAGTGACATGTTCTTTGTTCTTTCTGACACCCTGGCATTTAATAGGATGAGATAATGCATTGAAAATAATTACATTTCAATGACTCACTCCTCTTGAATAAGGGACAAATTATGTGATGAGAGAAACACAAGGAGACTGCAGGTATATCCAGACCTTTAGAATTGGAAGGAGAAGCACTTTTCAGGATTTGCATCCATTAAGAGGTATGAACTTGTAACAGGGTATGAATGGGAAATATTACTCTCCCAGTAAAAGGATAAGTTTATCTTTCCTATTCCTTGTTTATGCCAAGGAGAGCTAAGCAACACTGGTTATTACCATCAGTGACCCCTGTCATGGAGGAGACACGAAGGTGTGCACTAGGAAACAGACAAGAAATTAATCATGAGAACAAGCATCTGGTCACCACTGTGGTCTATCTGTAAAATAAAGGCATTAGATTTTAAAGATTTAAAGGACCTATGCTGCTTTAAAATTCTTTGATTTTATGAAAGAGAGAGAATAATTAAGATGAAGAAAATCAGGAGAGATTGGGTAATTTGACCCAGGGGATTTCATTCGTTAAGCTTGGCACCCCTCCAGGGCTTGGAAACTTTCATCTGTTGCCTGGTTACTAAAAGCCCACTTTGAAGTGAGGGTCCGATATTCCTCCTTCTCTCCGATATAAATGATGGGGATAGGTGGTGTTAGCCGAAAGTTTGAAGGTGCCATGTTCGCACACTTATCTGTCTTCTCTCTTCTATTAAACTCTTCTTTCTCAAAACTTACAATTTTTCGGACGGAAGATATGCAGCTGTCCCTTAACAAGTTCAAAAGACGCCCAAGATCATTCAAAATAAGAAAAAAAAAAAAAACACTTCACTGAGTTACCATTTTTTTTACCCATCAGATCACTAAGTTTCTGTTCAGTTGTCAATATATTCTGCTGTGGAGACTGTAGCTGGAGAAATACTGACAAAATGGCACAAACAACAAAGAGGGGTATCTGGAAATATCTAGCAAAATTGTGTATGTAGATATCACTGGACTCCACAGTCCTCTTTCTAGGAATCCTACCCAAAGTTACACTAGAAAACAATACAACACAGAGTTATTTCCTGTGGCATTATTAGCATTAGCAAAAGAAAGGAATAATAACAAACGTTTTTGTAGAGAGTAATAAATTAAAGTCTATCCATATCCACAGAACAGATTACTAGCAAACTGTAAAAATGAATGAAGAAGAGCTCTATGTATGGACGTGGATATGATATAACATGTTATATTCATAGATATATATATTTTTTTGAGACAGAGTTTTGCTCTTGTCCCCCAGGCTGGAGTGCAATGGTGCGATCTAGGCTCATTGCAACCTCCGCCTCCCAAGTTCAAATGATTCTCTGCCTCAGCCTCCTGAGTAGCTGGGATTAAAGGTGCCCACCACCACTCCTGGCTAATTTTTTTGTATTTTTAGTAGAGACGAGGTTTCACCATGTTGGTCAGGGTTGGTCTCAAACTCCTGACCTCAAGTGATCTGCCCGCCTCAGCCTCCAAGAGTGCTGGGATTATAGGCATGAGCCACCGCGTCCAGCCTAACCATTTTTTAAAAAGGTTGCAGGCCGGATATGGTGGCTCACACCTGTAATCCCACTACTTTTGGAGGCCGAGGTGGGTGGATCACTTCAGGTCAGGAGTTTGAGACCAGCCATAGAGCATCTAGAACCAGTAAGTACTCTCTTATGCCTAGAAGGAGGTCTCAAAATATCCTTCTGCAGTAATTGGAATCAGGGATCCTTAGAAAAAATGGCTGAATCCAGTTTGGGGCAGGGAATGCATAAGATGAGTCTGAGAGATCTTGAGAGGCCCCAAAGCAAAGATATTTCAGAGACTAAGGGGGTGATATTAAAAGTGCACAGAAACCAGAAGAAAAGTGGCTTTTGATAGGTCAATTTAAGCATCAAAAGAATGACTGAAATGGAATGAAATATACTGTATCTACAAAAATCCATAAGTTCATGATGCAGTCAAAGAGAGAGAGAGAGAGTAATAACACACTACAAACAATCCTAGCAAAACGTAAACTTATTCTTCCACAGTTGGATGTAGCTACCTGTGGCAACAATCACTTTTGTAAAAAAAAAAAAAGGTAGTTAAAGAGAATGTTACATTTTTCCTAGCTGGTTTGTATAATTTTTTTTAAAGTAAATAAATAACTCTGGATGATGAAGGAAAGCCTTCCTTCAATAATTTCAGCTAAATGACGGAAAGAGAAAAATCGTTGTTTTTCAACAACCAGTGAAATATTCGTGCTAAAAGATTGATAGGAACTTGTCAATTGAGGTATCAGGCAACAGCCACCTAAACCAAGAATCAATCTTTGCATCACTAAAAGTGAGACTACCAGACATTTGTGCTTCCTGAGAAGCAAATTGCTTTAAAGTACATAGCAAAACACAGCAAAGTGAAGGAGGGGGTGATAAATGAAGAAAGGGTAGCAAAAAGTTGACAGTTATTGTGTCTGGAGATAGGTATACAGAGATTCATTATCTTAATTCTCTCTCCTTGGGTTAAAGTGAAAACTTGAAAAATTAAAAGTTTAAAATGCAAAAGTTTCCCTTTGGATTCTCATTTCTCTTGGGGTTACCAAATTAAAAATCCTAGGTAAAGTATTCAGGTTTCTAAAAAGACCTCCTAGAGATTATGGTTTTCAATGTGTTTTTCTCAGAAAATTAATTTTTCTAATTCCATTTCATTGTAAATCTTTCCTTTCTGGAGTAATTCCACGTGCATGAGCATTAGAAAAGCTCTGAGCAGTTAGGTAGTAAATAAATTGGTTTAACTTTTATCCAGGATTTCTCGTGGGTTACCAGCCACAGCACCTGTGATTTTAGTCAGGTGACACCTATCATTCACAGACAGTACTACCTCTAAAGCAAGAGTCTGTGAGGGTTGCAATTTCAGGCAGAAGTGTCAGTGCAGAGTGAAGTAAACAGCCTTCATTCTCCTCTTCCGAATCCTTCAGTAATTTCTCAACACCTCATTTAGAACAAAGTCAGAACTCCTCAGGAAGGCACATGCACCACTTCCTGACCCAGCCGTTATCTAATACCCTTTGAGCCTCCACAGGAGCCCTGGGGTGTAGCTGAACTTAAACACTCAGTGATCGCACTGTTTTCCCTGGTGACTATGCCTTCCAGCTTCTGTACCTCTTCATCTGCAGTTCCTTCAGACAGAACCACCCTTCTCTTCTTCACAGTCTTAACTATCTCAGTCTACTATCCAGTTCAGACGTTACTTCCTGGAAGATGTTCCCAGGCAAAGTGTTTCTTCCTTATCCTCTGTTAGACCTCACTCCAACCTCAGTTGTGGTTGGTAGCTATGACACTGTACTGCAAACTTCTCTGACTTGCCTTTCTCCCCCACTAGACTGTGAGCTCCTTGAAGACAGTGTCTGTCTCTTACTTTCTCTGTAATCTCAGAGTATGGCTGGTTTGTTCAATACTATTGGTGGAAGAGAACAAGGTAACAGGTAATACTGATAAGAGTAGAAAATGCTAAAATTTACAGTTCCTGTAGCTGAAGATATCCCTGGAGGAAAATATTGTAGTCAAAAATTCAGAACAAGCTTCAAAGAAGAGATATTTGATTATTTCCAGAAAACAGCATGTTTTCTGAGAGATGAAGGCAGGAATAAGAGGTCACTCTATTTCTGAAGAGGAAGGACATAGGGCCATGGAATTTCTTTTGGGGAGTGTAAAAGCTAACACAATGGAAGGCCTTGGCTTACGGAGATAAACTTGGCATGATCTATAATTTTATGAACATTTCAAGCTACGTAGTACCAAAAAGTCTCTAACAGTGGCAGTACTAAAAGGATCTTGAGCTATGGGGAAGGAGGGGAAAGAAGTAGCTCACGGCCAGGTGCAGTGGCTCACCCCTGAAATCCCAGCACTTTGGGAGGCCAAGGCGGGCAGATCACCTGAGGTCAGGAGTTTGAGACCAGCCTGACCAATATGGTGAAACCCCGTCTCTACTAAAAATACAAAAAAAATTAGCTAGGCTTGGTGGTGGGCACCTGTAGTTCCAGCTACTCAGGAGGCTGAGACAGGAGAATTCCTTAAACCTGGGAGGCAGAGGTTTCAGTGAGCCGAGATCACACCACTGCACTCCAACCTGGGCGACAGAGCAAGACTCTGTCTCAAAAAGAAAAAAAAGTAGCTCACATATACTCTTTTCTTTTCCATTTCTTGATTAGGGACTAGAGACAAGTGCTCCCCCCACCCCAATCTTATCTAAAACTTTCAGCAAGTGCTCTTCTTAGATAAGTCCCCTCAACTCCACTCCGGGCAGATCCCTGCTTTTGAGCCCAGTCCCTCCTGCATAGGAGTTCTGGAGATACCACTCTGCACTTCACAGGCTTTGTTCCTGTCTTACAAGTGTTGGGTGTTTATATTTTTGTTTCCTTTATCATGAATTTGCATTCTATGTGTACATAAACACTCCATTTATTTCTCTTTTTAAACAAATTACTTAATGCCAACATTTTTAAGGGTAGATATTTTATGTCTTATATGGCGCAATTAAATCACATCCTGAATGCAGATCACCTCTTTCTTCCATTCCAGAGACTGTGTATTCATGGGTCCTTATAATCTCTCAAGAGATTTGCAGAATGGAACACCGTCAAGGAGTGACCATTCAATCCATTTCCCTGCTCCCCCTAGTGCAGCATTTGTCATTTTCCCCCTCATGGCTGCCAACAAGCTTTCAGCTTCCTGAGTTCCATCAAAATACTCCAGGTGCTTTGGGCTTTTGCTTTCTCTTTTGCAGATTGGGTTTATTTACATTGATTCCAAATGTGACAAAAAGCAAACAAACAATTATCCACATGGTCCAGACGTGGCTCCTCTTGTAACTCAGATGAAAGCAGCCTGACAATGTCTCCCAGCTCCTGCACTCTGGCTCTCTCCACAGGTTCCATGGAGTGTGCTAGCATGGTCCTGGGCAGCTGCCAGCCTGACTGATGAGCCCTAATTGCAGGAATGCAGCTTGCTGCCAGCAATTATGCAGGCACAGTTAAGTTAGATGCATTCTCTCCATCTAGGTCATTGTGCCACTTTTTCTATGGCTGCATAAAGTTCTAGCCAAGACCTCAGGAATAATGTTCCTCGATTGAGGAAAGTATAAATAATTGCAGTGATTGAAATAAAACTTTTATTTCTGGGGTTAGCCTTAAACAAAACTGTGATGAGGCTTGACTTAACCCTTCATTTATTTAGCATGCCCAATATTTCTGGGCCTTATTTTGACTTTCTGTGGCTTGTCTTTCTACATTATTCCATGTCCTTGGCCAGAAACGCCATAGAGATTTTTAGCTAATGCATCAACTCTGGGAGCAAATTTTGGGAGCAAATATTTGGAGGTTGCTTATTACAGCTCACTGGTATAAGTGAAAGGATCAATTCACAATGTCTGGTATGGCATGTGACATCTCTATTTTACAGTTTCCTCCAACTCCACCATCTAGAAGAGATTCCATAAAAAAGGCCTCTCTCAAATAGTGGAAGGTAATGTGTTGATATAACTTCTCGGACAATGACAGAGTAGATTGGCTTGCTAAACCTCGATTCCAGTTTCCTTTTAGTGACTCTGCACTGCAGAGGCTACAAAGGTAAAAATGACCTCTCCAAGATTCCCTTTCATGGAGGGTTCTGGATGCGATGATGTTCTGTCAGTGAGGTTCACTACTGTGAAACTCAATTTCACAACTGAATTGTATGGGAAGAAAGAAAGGCAGCGCTGAAGAAAACCATAATGGCTTGGGTGGAGAGTGGCTACCAAGATCTGAATTTAAATCCAACAAATTTGGGAGCAGGTTTTTGATTCCTAGATCACAGATAGGGTGGAGCCAGCAGTTTCATGTTTCCCCAGTGTCTTTATTGTAGTAGGAGAAAGAGCTCCCCAGGCAGGCCAGCTCTGTGGTGGTGTTAGGGAGTCAATCTTGGAGGCCTTTTGTAACTTGCTTTTGCAGCCTAACGTGGTTTGTTATTTGCCAATGTCCCATGACTGATACAGACTAAAGCACATTAAATCATTATGAAAATAAGACTACGAGACACACAGAAAAGCAATGAACAATGAGAGTCGTTCCAGCCTTACCCTTGACCTAACTTCGTTCCTAGAACTAACTACTCTGATAATACACCCTCACAACTCACAAAAATATGTCTGCCTTTCAAGGATCAATTCAAACTTCACCTTCTCTATGAAGCCTACCCCCCTAACCACCACTCCCATCAACTATCATCTCTAAGCAAAATGAGACTCTTCCTATTCAAACGAAATAGTATGTTGCTTGTATTGGGAGCCCTTTTTCCCTTCAATCATATATACTTTCAATCTAAATCTTTCTGAGTCCTGGAATCCTCAAAAGCCTGGATTGTAAAGATAAAATTGTGTTGTTGTGTGTATTGCCTGTGGGGCATCCAAGCTCTTTTGCACACACACACAGATCTTAGCATAGTTGTTGTAATACAGCATATGCTCAATAGTACAACTGGATCAAAATGTTTCAAAACCAGTTTATCCTAAATTAAAATCTATAACATGTTGCTCTTAACACCAACCCATCACAGCTTAATATACAGAAATTGGCCAGGTGTGGTGGCTCATGCCTGTAATCCCAGCACTTTGGGAGGCTGAGGCGGGCAGATCTCATGAGGTCAGGAGATCGAGACCATCCTGGCTAACACGGTGAAACCCCATCTTTACTAAAAATACAAAAAATTAGCCGGGCATGGTGGCAGGAGCCTGTAGTCCCAGCTACTCAGGAGGCTGAGGCAGAAGAATGGTGTGAACCCGGGAGGTAGAGCTTGCAGTGAGCGGAGACCGCCACTGCACTCCAGCCTGGGTGACAGAGCGAGACCTATCTCAAAAAAACAAAACAAAACAACAACAACAACAACAACAAAACCCACAGAAATTAATCTCTAATGATGAAAGTTCACTTTCAGTTCAAATGGAGATTTTTGCATTAATGTGAATCTGTGTGGGCTGGTGGAGGAGAGATGGTTAGAGAACAGAAGGGGTAAAGTATCTTTTAGCTGCTCAAATTCATTTACATCTGTAGCCAGCATCTAGTTGTTTTGGTGCTGCTTTGGCAGAGTTGGACTCTTTATTGGATCATATCTCCAGAGCCAATAGAGAGTGGTGGTTATGAATCCAGGCAGGGCAGCTAATCTGCCTGTTTTCAGATCCAGTCACTACCATTTGCTACAATTGTGTGATCTTGCAGAAGTTGTTGAACCATTCTGTGTTTCAGATTACTCACCTATAAAATGGCAACAACATATAACATGTATATATTATATATATATGTCAACACATAACATATATACTATACATACGTCAACATATAACATATATAAGTCAACACATAATATATATATATATGTCAAGGATAGAAGAAAAAAGAAATACATATTTGCTATTATTATCTACCTAATGATGATTTTCTTGCCATGAAG
The DNA here is from genome assembly GCF_000001405.40 of Homo sapiens. Taxonomy (NCBI): domain Eukaryota; kingdom Metazoa; phylum Chordata; class Mammalia; order Primates; family Hominidae; genus Homo; species Homo sapiens. The sequence continues at coordinate 164,342,848 of NC_000005.10, read as the reverse complement.
ATGAATTCATCAAATTCCATCCATAGAGTTCTAAGACATTCAAGGTACATATCCATTATTCAAAAAAGTATAGATAACATTGAACTAGATTGGTGACTGCCCTAATATTCACTGGTCGTTCTTTTTGACATTGAACCTGTAAGTTAAACTTGAATATCTCAATTTTTGTGATAAGCAGAAAAGAAGTTTGTGGACAAGACTATTCATCTGAATTATCCAGGCAGCTTTGTTTTTGCAATGTCTTTGGAGGAGGTAGGCTGCTACTCTTGAACCTTAAAGAAATTATGAGTACTGCTTGGCATATAAAAATATCTTTTCATTGAAGAAATAAATAATCATACTACCAGACAAGTCAATGAATACATTACTTCTAAAAATAACTTTTTAGGCTGCATACAGTGGCTCACGCCTATAATCCTAGCACTTTGGGAGGCCGAGGCGGGTGGATCACAAGGTTAGGAGTTCGAGACCAGCCTGGCCAACATGGTGAAACCTCATCTCTACTAAAAATACAAAAATTAGCTGGGCATGGTGGTGGGTGCCTCTAATCCCAGCTACTTAGGAGGCTAAGGCAGGAGAATTACTGGAACCTGGGAGGAGAAGGTTGCAGTGAGCCGAAATCACACCATTCCACTCCAGCTCTGGGCAACAGAGCAAGACTCTGTCGCAGGGGGAAAAAAAAAAGAAATTTTAAAAATTGTGGGCCTGGCACAGTAGCCCACACCTGTAGTCTCAGCACTTTGGGAGGCCAAGGTGGGTGGAACACCTGAGGTCAGGAGTTTCAGACCAGCCTGGCCAACATGGTGAAACCCCATCTCTACTAAAAATACAAAAATTAGCCAGGTGTGGTGGCGGGCACCTGTAATCCCACCTACTCAGGAGGCTGAGACAGGAGAATGGCTTGAACCCAGGAGGCGGAGTTTGCAGTGAGCTGAAATCACATTGCACTCCAGCCTGGGCGACAAGAGCGAAACTCCATCTCAAATAAATGAATAAATAAAATAAAATTGTATTCCAAAAAGCCCTGGGATACCAAAAAAGTGCCTCAAAGGGTTACTTCAGGGAATTGAAGAATGAGGATAGGAAAGAAGACTATGAAGCATTGTGTGCAGGCTGTTTTTAACGTTCATATGTAGAGCATCTTGCCAAAGAAGAAAAGGTTATAAATCTAGGTTTGCTAAGCACTGTGATAGAATCCCAAGGATTTCCCTCTTCTGCTCCAATTCTTTAGTTTAGCTGAGGGACACCTTCTCCTGATGTTTAGCATTAATTTTACCCAGTCATAAAGGAGGCAAAATGCCAACTTTATTCACATTAATCAAATTGATTACTAAGTTCACACGATTGGCTTCTTGCAGCTTCAGATTTGTCAGCCTGGGGGCAGAAACAGAGTATTTCTATTGCACTCAAAAGGGAGGTAAATAATGGAGTCTAGTTTAGACTGACAGCAGGAAGGGATGCACTTCCAGACTAAACCACTGAGTGGAAAGTCTCCAGATCTTAAAGGCAGAATACAGATCTTGTCCCTTTTCAAACTCCTTGCTCAAGGGGATGACCACGGGTTGTCCAGAACACTCACTGAGCTGCTTCTCAGCTGAGGGCCATTTGTGTGTGCTTTTCCAATTGGCAATTCAAAAGGTCAGAAAAAGATTGGATCAACTTAACTTTACCAGCAGTAAGATTGCAATGGGCTCTTTGTGTCTGCCTTTATTATTAGCTCAGTGGTAGAAAATGCCCCTCTGTGTTCACCTGCCCTTGGAAGGATGAGAGGAATAATGCAGTCTTTAATTTCAGATCTTGCTTTAAGTCCATCCTGCTGTGATTTCTTTTCCTGTGGAAAAAAAAATGCTATTTGACAACTTTTGGCATTTACTAAGCAGTAGAGTGCTGTTGTTTTTGATGTTAAAATAAACCCTCACCCCTGAAACTCCCAGTTTAGGTTTGTACTACTAGGTTCTATCATCATCTTGTTCACAATCATTTGTATAACCCTAAACAGTTAGAAGGGCTGCTGTTTGCCATTCACTTAAAAAGTAACCAAACTCTGCAAAATTGAACAAAAAATTTATCAAAATGTTGTGGGGTTTTGTTTGTTTCTGTGACACTTTTTTGAGCTTCTTAAAAATATACAATTGTATGAGAAACTTCTAGAGGCCTGCTTTATGCAAAATGTTTTGAGATAGCCTGTTGCATTTTGGATTAGAATTGTAAGGTGTACAAGAAACATGTTTGAAAAGAGAAAGCCTTGGTTTAACTTTAGGGCATGGAAGGAGGCAGCTTGAGTTCCCAACTCATGCTCAGAAGCAGGGCCACTCTGCCATCTCCAGTGGAAGTAGGCTGGAACACGTGAGCGACTTGTTCATCACTCTGCTTGCACCTGAGTTTACTTTTACCAAAAATCAGAGAAAGAACTAGCATCCTCTGCTTTTTCTGTAATACAAAGTTAGGAGGGAAAAGTTTATTTTTTTCCATTTAATTACTTCTTTACATGCATTTACAGTAATTAGACATCAGATGCAGTAGCTAAAGCAATTACTGTATGTCATTTCAGAGAATTACAGTATAAACATACAGTAAATACTCAATAATCCATGACAAGCTACTTAAAAAGTAATAAGGAAATTTAATTTAAAATGTGGGAGCTGAGATGCATGAGGGACTTCTGAATGAAATGCCCACATTTGCAAAAGAGAGAGATTCTAGCTTTGAAAATCCACCAGCATTAATTTACTACCCTTCACAGCGTGGGTTATTGGTTATCTACCTTCAAAACTAACATTAACAATGCATGATAAATAGCCTTTTAATAAATGGAGCCCTCTTCCTGCTTTTTCTTCTCCCCTACTTTTCTCTTCTCTGCCCTACTTTTCCCTGACCTCCCCTTCTCTCCTTACCTCTCTTTCGCCCTCTGTTTCCCTTTTTCTCTCCCACATACTAACATACCTTCCTAGCATGCACATAGTATTCCCCAGAACATATCCTTAAACCCCAGACAACATAGTCCATTAGCCTGTAGCACAAAAGTCTAATTTGTAATTTCACTGTGGCACTCCTTGACTTTCACTTTTAAAGATCTTCTCCCCACCCCTATATCACAGCACACTAGAATAAAATGCATAGATAATTTACTTATTGGACCTGAATTCAAATCTCAGCTAATTCATTGAGGAACCTTGGGCAAACTGCTCAACTTCTCTGTGTCTCAGTTAAATTATCCATAAAACAAAGGTACAACTATTTATTAGTGAGTAGTTTGAGAATAGTGTTGTAATGTAGCTAAGGTATCTGGGATCAAGCGGGCAAGTTACTACTCTTAACATTACCCATTTATTTATCTAAATGCAATTCATTAGTATGAAACATTTATTCTTCTGCTTAGACTTTTCCAGCATGCATAACTTCTTATGACTGTGCTGTGTTTATCAACTGTTAGGTGATGTAAATCTGTTCTCTATTCATTAAAAAACTTTAAGGTGCAGGTTCCCCCAAAAGAATACAAAAAGCTAAAGAATGTGTCTATGTCCACCCTCTTTAATCCACTATAATCTTATAAATTCCCCGGTTAACTATCCCTAGGTAGTCTTTCAGGAATAGAGTCACTTCCTCTCCCTGCCTCCCAAAGCCCCTACCTGACGTCCTTGTCCAGTATGGTATAATAAGAAGAGCACACATGAGAGAGGAAAACAGACCTGTCTAATTTTGGAATGAAGACTATACCTCCAGAAGCTTACATTTAAAAAAAATAGGACAATATCTACTTCATAAGGTTAATATGGGGATCAAATGGGACAATATTCACTCATTTATTTATCATGTGCTTACTGAATGCATTGTGTTGTCTTCTTCCACCTACCAGGAAGCCTGGCATGTAGAAAGTAATTTATAAGTGTGATTTCCTCTATTTCTGTGTACAAATTTTGCCTACTTCCTAGATCATCTTTTCCCGAAATATGTTCCATTGATCAGTTGTTACAGGAAGTGCTTTGCCAAAACAAAGTCTCCATGCTAGGCTAGGTGTGGAGAATGTTATCCAATTTACTCTCTTCTTGTTTACTGCTAGTATAATTAGGCATACAAAGGCTTGAAGAAAATCGATAATCATTAAATAGAGCTTCCGGGGTTAGGGATATACATTTTAATTTTTATCACTAATATTTTAATTTTGGCCATAAACAAATTACCCATCACCTCTACTACATTTATTTACATTGCCGCCAAAAGTATAGGAATATGATCTTTACTGATATTACAGTTTCCCTCTTTCTAACTCCTTATTTTCCAGATGAAGAAAACTGAGGATCAGAGAGGGAAAGAAGGAACCACTCACAGGACACAGTTTACAAAATGCATTCAAACAAACCTAACAGTGACTCTCTGAGGGCAGCTTCCAAAGTTAGAAATCTTAGTTTGTGAGATCCTACTAAATGCTAGTCACACTGCCAGATATTTATTGACATAAACTTTTCAGAAATCCTCTTACAGAATCACTAATGCCATTTTAAAATTGACAAAACTGACTCCGAGAAATTAAGACACTTGCTGGGTGTTACCTGGCTATAAGTGGTGTTCTCACCTCTGCAGGCCTCCTGTTCCCTGGACCACAGGAATCTGATTAGGCATTTTTGGTGCATATTCTGTCAAACGTAGCAGCTATAGTAGGTAAATCAGAATGGGGACTCTGGTTGCCTTAATTAACATAATTAATTCCACTACAATGTGACAAAAATCATTCAAGAGAAACATCGACTCTAATAGTCTATGGGGAATAGAGGTAAGAAGAAAATTGGTTCTTGGTCTTTATTTCCTATAACATATGATAATATCTCCTCTCTATCAGGATGATATAGTTTGGATCTGTGTCCCCACCCAATCTCATGTCGAATTCCAATCTCCAATGTTGGAGGTAGGGCCTGATGGGTGGTAACTGGATCATGGGGGTGGGTTTCTCATGAATGGTTTTGCACTATCCCCCTTGGTACTGTCTTCATGACAGTGACTACTCATGAGATCTGGTTGTTTAAAAGTGTGTAGCACCTACCCTCCCTCTCCCTTGCTCTTACTCCTGGCATTCGAGATGCCTGCTCCACCTTTGCCTTCTACCATGATTGGAAGCTTCCTGAGGCCTCCCTCCCCAAAGAGAAGCTTCAATGCTTCTTGTACAACCTGCAGAACTGTGAGCCAATTAAGCTTCTTTTCTTTATAAATTGCCATGTCTCATGTATTTCTTCATAGCAATGCAAGAATGGACTAATATACAGGGCAACCTGAGCCAACTGAAAAAGCCAGTATTGGTTTGAGAGATGACTTCCTTCCAAGCAGAGGCAAACTCGTCGGAGTCACCTGAGGAAGATCCTAGATGCCAGGGTACTGGCATTGAGTCCACTGGGACTCAGGTCATTATTGTGTCCTACTTGCCTCCTCCTGATAATAGTCCCTAGGCCCACCAATCAGTTTTACCAATGGTAAAAGCAAGGAATATAACCCTCTCTTTTTGCTTTTATCAGAAATTTCAGTAAGCTTCATTTTTTCTAGGCACATATACTCAAAAATGGTCAAGCTATTTGGAACTGGTCAAAAATAATGACGGAAATAAGCTAGCTCCAAAACCCTCTAGTCCATTCCCCAGGGAGCTGATACAGAATCACTATCTACAACACAGTCTCCAGGACTGGGTCCTGTCCCATTACTCATGTACTGAGTAATGGATTTTCCACCATCTCCCTTAGGACAGTACTTCTGAATCCAATTCTCTCTGTCAGAACATTTTTTACCCACATTCTATCAGGATTCTTTCTCCCTCTCTCATTTTAGCATTCCATCCCATTATTTGTGGTTCTGTCCTCTCTGCCAGGGTAAATAATCACAATCTCCCTCGGCTTCTCTCTCTGTTGCCCTGCCACTGCTTCCCTTTGTTGTACATTTTATCTTGTATTTTCATGGCTGGTGACTTTATTTCACTTCTATAGTAATGCAAGCCCACCAATCCTTCATTTGCATATTTCCCAAATATATAAAAGGTGTTTAAATTCTAGAATCCCACAATTTGGATTTGTTTAGAGAGGAGCTTTAGAAATAAAGCAATTGTATTCTTCAAATTGTGGAAAGAAAGATGAGCATTATGAATGTTTTGAAGAAGAAGAAGAAAAGGAAAAAAAAAATAGGCCCATCTTTACAACTTTCAAATACAAAACTGAGTACAAGTGCAGGTATGCTCTTCCCCAGAATGAATACACAGAAAAGCCTATTCCTCCAGCAAAGATGTGAAAATACTTTTTAAGCTTGCTGAGGTCTTGTGGAGAATTATGATTACAACAAACCTGGGAAATGATTGTTGTTACAGAATGCCTGTGAAAAGGTTTATTTAATGCCAAAGAGCTTAGCTGATTTGGAATTAAATCAAAAAGAGCATTTGTGTCTCTGAGGTTGAGAAGTTCATTGTTTTCTTCTGGCAAAGCATGATGAGGTTCAGCCACCGTGGGCTCCAGCTCTATCACTCCTCATCCCAGTGGGCAACATGACAGGTTATATTGTGTTAACTGACATGTTGGCAATTTGGCTATATTTGAGGACTGAAATTAATTTGTGACTAGGGTGTGGGACACCCAAAGCGGTATTTCAGTAGTTACTTTTAAGTTTTAAGTAAATCTGCTGCCCTTTTAAAAATTATTATTCTCATTCTCAACACTGACTAAAGTATACAGAAAGAACCTACTTGTATTTTTTCTCCCTCTTTCAATATTCTAATGGATTTTGACACTTTACATGTTGCAAAAGTACTTTCAGGTTAGTCATAAGACAACATTATCTCATTACATTTCAATGAGTCATCATTTAGAGACTTCCAGGGCTCTCATTCTTAAAGTTCACCGGAATTATGTCACAGGAGTCATATAATCTCCTGGGGCATAATAGCAAAATATATTCCAGAAAGGTTTAAACATGACTTGAATAACCCTATATGAGTCAAATGTAGTATATGGAATATTCAAGAATCATTATTTGGCCAATATTATTCTTTCATTTCTCCTTCTCCTTTTTTTATCCCTCCTCTATTTCTCCTCTACCTGCTCCTCCACTTTGCCAGATCAGATAATTTGATTTAAAACTGTAGTTTTACAAATTATATACAACTTTTCAGATATATCATTGTTTTCTTCATTCAAAGTCTTCATTATTGTGACAAAAAGCAACATATTACATCCAGTAGCATCTAACCTTCAAAAACAGAATATCTACCTGATCAAAATGAAGCTACTGGCCCTGTCTCAAATACAATTTAGACCAAAAAGTCACTTTTTTTTCTTTTTTAACCAAATTGATAACTAAACAGTTCTTGACCATCTTGTACATCTCATGTTATCACTTACCAACTTGAGATAAATTTGCTTTTCATAACTGCTTGTTAGGGTAATCAAAAGATCAATGCAGTGATAAATAGAAAACATTTAAAAATGATGACACGCCTAGTGGTAGAAATTTGGGTAATTTTTCATTCACATATATTTTAGAGTACTTTCTAAATTGTTCTAATTTTATGTAGATGAAACTGATCTAATTTCACACCCTATAAACTGTAAAGTCCTACATAACTTAATTATTAATGAGGATATTTGGTAGAGGTAGCCATTATTGAAAACAATTAAAAGAAGAATACAGTTATAAAATTAAACAATGATGATAATGTAAATATGAGGAATAACTTGGCATTTGCAAGGTGAAGAAGTTGAACATTTGAAGTTCTCAATACTTAGAGTGGGTAGTTTAATTCTAAAATTAATTTACTGTCATTTCAGAAAGATGGGTTTCCAAATAAGGAAATCACAGCAACCTTCAAATTCATTACTTATAGCCTTATAAAGTATATCAAATATAGTTTCTGGTTTCCTGTCCCTATGAGGATTACTTTGGGGATACATAGAAAATACAGCATGGACCAAGGGCACAAAGCACTTTGACACCACATCTTGCTTTTCTCAGAAATGACTAGATGTTAAGCCACTGAATAATTAATGCCCGTTTGCTTTGAAGGAAATTATAATTGGCCTAACTTAGAAATTTTTTCTTAGGTTTGCTCATTCTGTGCCCCAAAAGGAAAAACATGTCAAGTACATGCCAGGGTGAAAATCTGAAACTTGCTCAAATGCTTTAGTAGAAGAAACGTACCTCCTGTGAGGCTCACAAATGTATTCAAATGTTAGCCGAAGTTAAAATACTTCATTGTATAAAGCAGGGAGGACTGATCAACCTGGTCTTTTCTGGCTTACATTATGAAAACAAAAACATCCATGAATTTTGTACATAATATCTGGGTTTCATATAGTTTGCTTGTCCTAAAGTTATGTCTAGTAGTTGGATATACAGATATAAAACTTAAATTAATTCACATTCATTCAAATGAAATTGTAAAGGTTATATGCTTATAGCTAATATTTTACCTTAAAATATTTTGTGCTTTCTTTCAAGAAAGTGTGTGTGTATGTGTGCTTGTGTATTTATTTAATTTTCTTTTAAATCAAGAGACTCGATTTACATTCCGGCAATTATGAGGCATGCATTCTAATTGTTATCCCATAGTTAGTATTTCTATCAGTAAATCAGAGCTCTAATTACAGGCAGGAAAAACACATTCAATATTGTGGAATATTTATGCAAAATACTACTCTTAGCATGTATCAGCTAAACTCTAATGTCTAGTAGAGTTTATACAGCAATTTTCAAAAGAGTATATCCAGTTTGGCCTTTCTTGTTCAATATGTATAATGCCTGATGAGAGTACAATTTCATTTTCAAAAACTGTAACTCTCTAGGCAATTAGTATGATTCTACCACCTGCATTCTTTAAGAAAAAAAAACATTACAAGTCTTACTCCATGAGTAATCGCTTTTATCTGAAAAGTCTATGGCTTTTCTGGACAAGATGATCACAGATATACTTAATCACAAACTTTATTGTGTTCTTCAGAGTTAAGGCTATTTGATGTTTTCTCCCGAGAGAGAATTCATACAATTAATTTATTCTATACAGTATGTTTTTAAAACAGAAAAATCCAAGTAGCAATACTCATTTCTAAATTATTTCACTGGAGCATCTCCCATTTCCCCCCCTTCAAAATATGAAAAACTGTAGAGCCGTGCACACAAGTTCCATTAAAAATAAGATATCTTAACTGTGTGAAGACTTTAGGAGTACCTAACACTATGATGGATAGATGCTATATGTTAACTCAGAAAATTCAGAAGTGTGATTTCTGACTTATAGAATATTCTTAGAGAGCAATGAAATAATCTCTTAGTCTCTCGATATGTATATGCATACACACACACACACACACACACACACACACACACACCATTTGTAAAACCAAACATTTTAGGCTGTCTTTACATACACTAAATATACATTTTTGGAAACAGGAGTGATTCTACTAGTGTCTATGAGAGTAGAGTAATGGGAGTGTTACTTAATCATTTTAAGGGCTAGTAAAAAATGCATTTGGTACCACTTTTTCTTCTACTTCATCCTTCTTTCCTCAAGACAGATTTTATAACTTTAAAATCCCCTTATACTTTCCTCATGAAATATATGGCTTAAAAACTTGTTGGCCAACCGAGTTTTAGCAATTACTTATGAAAAAAAATTAAACATAGGCCACATTTTTTTATTTGAAGAAATTTATTTTATGTAAATGTTGAGAAAAGACCAGCTTAGATTATATCTAATAAAATAAAAAGCCATTTAGGGGCAAGAGGTGAAGTTATAATTGCTCTGAGGGCAATGATGTTGAGTTTTCTGGCTATTGCAGATTTACATTCTAAGCCATAATGCTGAGTTAACAATTTTGCTTTGAGATGAATATATAAACACCTGTAAGATGAGGATTTCAACCTTTCTGAGGATCATATTCGAAATAAATTGAGGCTTAGAGTGCAATTACAATATTAAGTCCCAAACCACTGTATAGTTAGAAATTGTTAGTAAAGATTGCCAATTTTCTTTGTGGGCACTGGGCCAATTTCTGTAGGAGACTCAGTCCATATCATCCACCCTGTTTGAAGGTAAATTTGCTGACAGGGCTATTTTGTAGAGCCAATTTGTCAACATCAGAGACACTGAATTGCTTGCATTGATTATTATGGTATGGGATGATAGTGTTTTGGTTCTATGCATCTATGAATACCCTGGGGGCACAGGAAAAAAAAGAAATATAACAATAGCTATCTTTTGTGTGTGTGGTCCTTAATACACAAATGCACACACATCTTTAATGTCAGCAGCCAAATAATTGTGCAATACCTTCCAAGGGACTCTTAGAACTCATTTGTCAAGCACTTGGGGACTTTTTCAACTGAACAGATTTCCTTGCGTTTGCAGAAAGTACTCTGACTTGAGAGTTTGCTATTAGAAACTTATTATTCCTAAAAGCTAGCTGTATTGACCTTTAGGTGTCCTTACTCGCCCTATTTCGGAATCAAATGCAACTTCATTATTTACATATTACCAAAATAAAAATTAAAAATTCAATATTCAATTATATATTCAATTATATATTCAATATATAATATTGAATATATATAATATATTATATATATATATTGAAAACACCCAAACAAGCCATGAAATTCCCAATTAAGCTCTAAATACTTGCTGAATACCTGCTACTTATCCAGCCCAACGATGTCGAATACAACAATATTCATGACTGACTTGCTGTCTTCTAGTAACTGTAAATTAAATTTGGTGAGGAAATCAGAAAAGGTAACCCTCTTAAGTTGTGTAGAATTACACAGCCTGATGGGAAGAAAGGGATTGATCCTGCAAAAAAAAAAAAACCAATTTGACTATACTTACTTCTAACAAAGTAAAATGTGTCATTCATATCATACAAATGCTGCAGGCAAGATAAGGTTCTTAAGAAAAAATCCATAATATAAACGTGGTAAAAAGGCACAGGGCTTAAAATTTTACTCGTTATTTAATTTTTCTTTGCCTTAGTTTCCACCTCTACGATATAGGTCTAATAAATGTACCCAGTTTGTGGACTGTTATTAGAATTAAATGAGATGTGTCTATACACGAAAAGATGTATAGGTAAATGAATACTGTGTAACTACTTAGAACACTTAAAAGAGTGCTTAGCACCATAAGCAGTTATGAATACATGTACATCAGTGTTTTAATAGCAAACAAATAAGTACAGAAAGAGTTTATAAGCTAGTATAAAATTGGGTTTGGTAAATGTTCGCTTGTGATCATTACAATGAGAAATCTTCGTTCCTTTAAAGCTCTGTCTATGGAATATCAATCCAAATTAATTAGAATAGCTTGCCATTAATTTTACCCATTAATGTGAATTTTCAAGATTAAGAGTTAAGTCAGAAAATTGAGAAGATTAACCATAGTGTTTTTCTCAAAATTAGATGTGGCTGGATCAGAAGAAGCAAAAGAAGCACTTAAGATAGTGTTCATTTGTCTGAGGTCTTTTCAGACATTTTGTTCTTCTAGTGTTGATCACATTAATCACTAACACATTTTGTTTTATAAAAACTTTTTACATATAAGTTTCCTTTCTGAGATGAAACTTCTACCCTTTCATTTTTAACAGCTCAATAAAATGAAAAGGACTGAAGTCCAAAGTTCTTACTGAAATTTTCTTTTGGTAGAAGTAGTTAATTACAGGGAAATGCTAGTTTGAATGTGATATGACACTATGTATCTGTATCAGGGCCTTCTCCCCTGATAGCATTACAAAACACAATAGAAACTGGTGAAGGAGGATAAAGAAACACATAAATAGGATTTATTGCCTCGTGTATTTAGAAAGCACAGTGGCTGGGATGGCTTCAGGTGGAGCTTTATTCAGGGGCTTTAGACATTGTTGCCAGGATCCAGACTCTCTCCTGGCTAAACTCTTTTCACCTCCATGTGTTTCTCTCATTCCCTTGGTCTCTCCCTTCATGGTCACAGGAAGATCACCTGCATCTCCTGGGGACATATCATGTGGGATTCAACAAGTACCACAGAAAATACACAACAAATCCAACACTTAAAAAAATTCAGATTCTTAGTCCAAGCAATCCCAGCAGAAGCTCTAATTCACAGGTCTTATTCACTAGCCCATACCTGAACCAAACACTGTGGAGAAGGAAATTTAATATGCTGGTGGTCATGGTCCTGACACAGATAATAATGCCCCACTCAAACCATGTGAATCAGTGAGGGTAGCCGTAGATCTTCAAGTGAACAGTGAGGCTATTTTAAGAAGGAATGAATCCCTAAAAGAAATTGGACCTCTTGTGTTGGAAGGCAAAGATCCATTTGTAATAGTGTACCAAATAAAGAGGACAACATAGGCACAGTCCTTTCCCTCCAGTTTGACATTACTTTGTAATTTTATTCACTTTAGTAAATAAGAATACAATGCCTACTAAGTTTGCATGTAGTTTGATGTTGATGTTTAGAAGACTATCACAGATCAAGAAAATATACTTCTTTAAAACTTTAAAACTCCAAAGATAAATATAATCCTATCCTTAATAAATTCAGAACCTAGGGAAGAATACCTATCTATCTATCCACATGCACACGTATATATACATATATATACACATACAAATACACATATATTTACATATATATATATACACACACACATACTCAAGCATAGAGTTCATGAACGGAACAGAGAGATTCTCAAACTATGTTGAAAAATTACATATTTTCCCCATTCTATTGCAGAATAATACTTTTGTAAAATGCAATAAAATTAATTAGTAGGAAGAAAATGATCATACACTTGAAGACAAAACAAGATTAAATTGCTATTAAACTTTCTAAATGCTTTGTCTTAATTCTATACTTACTCTATACTTACAAAGAGTTCATAGACTGGCCTCTGTATGCAGATAACACTGCAAAGCAAAGGTTTATACATATGTATTGAATTCATTTAATTTTTATTAACAATTCCAAGCATTATGATTAGGATGGGAATGGGGTAAAACATCATGGTGGATGCCCAAATTGATTCCTGTCTTAAAGACAGTGTTTAAGGGATCTTTTAAAAGTTTGTTTAGGAAAAGAAAACCAAATATATATAAATATATAAATATATATAATTTATATATATTTATATATTATATAAATAATATATATTAAATATTATATAAATCATACATATTATATAAATAATATATAATAAATATTATATAAATAATATATATTATATAAATAATATATATTACATATTATATAAATAATATATATTATATATTATATAACTAATATATAATATATATTCTATAAATAATGTATAATATATATTCTATAAATAATATATAATATATATTATATATAAATATATATAAATAAATATATTTATATATAAAATGTTACATATAAATATATAAATATATAAAATGTTATATATAAATATATGTATAAATATATTTATATATAATATAAAAATATATATAATATAAAAATATATATTTATATATATAAATATATATATTTTTATATATAAACATAATATATATAATATATTTATATATGAATACATATATATTTATATATAAATGCATATATATTTATATATAAATACATATATATTTATATATAAATACATATATAAATATATATATTTCATATATAAATATATATATTTATATATACATATATTTATATATGTATATATAAATACATATATAAATATATATGTATATATAAATACATATATAAATATATATGTATTGATAAATACATATATAAATATATATGTATTGATAAATACATACACATGTATATATACACATACATATATACATACACATGTATATATACACATACATATATACATACACATGTATATACACACATACATATATACATACACATGTATATACACACATACATATATACGTATACGTATACATGTATATATACATACATATATACGTATACGTATACATGTATATATACATACATATATACGTATACGTATATATAAATATGTATTTATATATAAATACATATATAAATATATATTTATATAGAAATACATATATACATATATATAGAAATACATATATAAATACATATATACATATATATTTATATAGAAATACATATATAAATATATATTTATATAGAAATACTTATATAAATACATATTTATATAGAAATACATATATAAATACATATTTATAGAAATACATATATAAATACGTATTTATATAAATACATATATAAATACGTATTTATATAAATACATATATAAATACGTATTTATATAAATACATATATAAATACGTATTTATATATTTATATATAAATACATATATAAATATATATAAATACATATATAAATACATATATTGATATATAAATATATATATTGATATATAAATACATATATAAATATATATATTGATATATAAATACATATATAAATATATATATTTATATATAAATACATAGATAAATGTACATATTTATATATAAATACATAGATAAATATACATATTTATATATAAATACATATATAAATATATATATTTGGTTTTCTTTTCCCAAAATATATATATAGTTAACTATATACATAAATTCATGAGGTGATCATCAAGAGTCAGTAACTTTTTTCCAAAAAGGGCCAGATGATAGTAAGTCTTTTAGGCTTTGCAAGCCAGATGGTCTTCATCACAACTATTCAATTTGCCATTCCCTGGTCTAGGCTCTCATAAAACCCAACATGAACTAGTCTTAAAAAAACAAGGAATTTGTTGGCACATAACTGAAAAGTGAAGCTTGACCCAAGGGCTGAAACTATGTTACTAGGATTAGTTTCCTTCTACATTCCAGTTCTGTATTCTGCTGCGTTATTTCCAATCTCAGCCATGTGTTGCAGGAAGTCAGGGATCCCGAAGGGAGGGACTGGCTGAAGCCACAGCAGAAGAACATAAATTGTGAAGATTTCATGCACATTTATTAGTTCCCCAAATTAATACTTTCATAATTTCTTAAGCCTGTCTTTACTGCAATCTCTGAACATAAATTGTGACGATTTCATGGACATTTATCACTTCCCCAATCAATATTCTTATAATTTCCTATGCCTGTTTTTAATCTCTTAATCTGTCATCTTCGTAAGTTAAGGATGTATGTCGCCTCAGGACCCTGTGATGATTGCGTTAACTGCACAAATTGTTTGTAGAATATGTGTGTTTGAACAATATGAAATCTGGGCATCCTAAAAAAGAACAGGGTAACAGTGATTTTCAGGGAACAAGGGAGATAACCATAAGGTCTGACTGCCTGTGGGGCCGGGCAGAACAGAGTCATATTTCTCTTCTTGCAGAAAATGAATAGGAGAAATATCACTCAATTCTTTTTCCAGCAAGGAATAACCCTGGGGAAGGAATGCATTCCCAGGGGAGGTCTATGGATGGCTGCTCTGGGAGTGTCTGCCTTATGTGTTTGAAGATAAGGGATGAAATACACTCTCATCTCCTGCAGTGCCCTCAGGGTTGCTAGGATTAGGAAATTCCAGGCTGGCGAATTCTAGTCAGACTGATTGTCTGCTCTCAAACCCTGTTTCCTGTTAAGATGTTTATCAATGAAAATGCGTGCCCCGTGGGACATGGAACCTCATCAGTAATTCTAATTTCGCCCTGGCCTTGTGATCTTGCTCTGACTCTCTGCCCTTGTGATCTTTTATTGCCCTTTCAAGCATGTGATCTTTGTGACTTACTCCCTGTTTGTACCCCCGTCCCCTTTTGAAATCCCTAATAAAAACTTGCTGGTTTTGCGGCTCAAGGGGCATCACGGAACCTGCCGATATGTGATGTCACCCCCGGAGGCCCAGCTGTAAAATTTCTCTCTTTGTATTCTTTCTCTTTATTTCTCAGACCGGCCGACACTTAGGGAAAATAGAAAGGACCTACGTTGAAATATTGGGGGCTGGTTCCCCCGATATCTGGTGCCCAACGAAATCAGGGTCTGATAGCCATGGGATCTAGGAGGGTTCCAAGCTCACATTACTTCTACACTCAGAGTCCCAATAGAATAGAGAGAATCCCTCTCTACAGATAAAAGTCATATTACCTTTTTTTGGCTTTAATTATGCCACATATATATCCCTGAGTAAATCATTGTACCCAGGGAAATGTATGCTCTTATTGAACTGGTCTGAGCCCTATCTTCATACCTAGACAACAAGATAAAATCGAGTGCTTCTGACACACAGATGTAAGTCAGGTAGAGGTTCATTCCTTGGAGAAAAATTATGGTATTTATGTCATAAATAGGGTGAATGGAAAGTGGAAAACCAACAGAAAGTAATGTCCATGAAAAGCAAAGATCACAAAACCAGAGACATCACAAGATTAGATGAGGTTTCCTATGAGTGGCATTGTCAGTTTGTGCTACAAGGTCTAAAGGAAATGGCCACTAGGGGCAGAAAGGCTCATTTGGCTACCTGAGGATGGTTTAACTAAAATCAAAATGAAACATAAGACTTGGGTGAGTGGTAGACATTAAGGAAAATCAACATTTCACATGCATAAAGCATGGACAGAGACACACAGTATTCCTTTGACTGTGCTTAGCCTGGTAGAGGGAGACACACATTTATTATATCTGGATTTAATTCTTGGTTCTATCAACTAAGAGTTACATAAAACTAGAAAAACTGCTTCCTTTTTTCTGAGCTTCAATTCCTTCATCTTAAAATGGAGACACTTAATTTTATAGGGTTATGTGGGGAGTAATTACAGATTAGTGCTCCAAAAATAGTGGCTGCTTTTCTTTCTTGAGACAGAGTCTCTCTCTGTTGCCCAGGTTGGAGTGCAGTGGCGCAATTACGGCTCACTGTAACCTCCGCCTCCTGGGTTCAGGCAATTCTCCTGCCTCAGCCTCTCAAGTAGCTGGGATTACAGGTGTGCACCACCATGGCCGGCTAATTTTTGTATTTTTAGTAGAGATGGAGTTTCACCATGTTGGCCAGGATAGTCTCGATCTCTTAACCTCGTGATCCACCTGACTTGGCCTCTCAAATGGCTGTTCTTTCTATGATCAC
Source organism: Homo sapiens (assembly GCF_000001405.40). Classification (NCBI taxonomy): domain Eukaryota; kingdom Metazoa; phylum Chordata; class Mammalia; order Primates; family Hominidae; genus Homo; species Homo sapiens. The sequence goes on along the minus strand of NC_000005.10, from coordinate 164,325,776 downwards.
GCAAATCTGGCTGAAACCTGGGTTAATTTCTCAGGGGTCAAGAAAGATGCCCTTGGGAAGAAAGTGTTTTTTGAGATAACAGTGGGTCTTAAAACAGAAAGACATTTTGACTTTATTTTATGTAGATATAGGTAACATGGAAAGATTGTTGAGCTAGAAAGTGGCATAATGGAATTGATAGCTTAGGGAAGCCTTCTGGCAAAGAGAAATCCATGAAGAATTGGACAAGAATGACCCTAGACAGAGAGAGTTTCCTTCAAGGAACTCTACAATCAATGTGTTTAAATGCCTATCATTTAAAAGGGGATTCTTTTAAAAGACTGCGCCATTTATTGTATTTGACATTTCTCACTGTTCTATGAAATATAAGGAGATGAATGCTGGAATCTTACACAGTGAAAGTAGCAGTAAAATACTTTTTCTGGCAATAAGTGAGGAATTGAATGACCTTCACCTGTTATTAGCAACAATTGGAATCTCTAAAGTGTCATGGGTGCGAAAGGAACACTGAGAATTGGAAATGACCACAAAAGGAAATGTTTATTAGGAATTTCCTGTAAATAGTATCACGTTTGCTTTTTTCAGATGTGGGAGTAATTATAAAATATCAGGTTTAATGTAAAAGTATTTTGAAATTTTAAGATCAAGCAAGCAGACATAAAATAGGAAATCACCTCCTATTATAAAAAAAGTCCCTTAATTCCAAATAGATGAGGGCCCTAATGAAAAACACATTTTAATTTTTCTAAGCTTATATATACTCAGTATTCACTGTATTTCTTGTATTTATTCACATATGCCTCAATCACCAGAGGAAGGTATTTACCAGCATGATATATTCTCATCCATTTACTTGGTCTGTTCTCAGCCTCAATTTCTTCCTCAGTTTCTCTGTCTATGGGGCGTTATTTGATATGCAACAGATCACAGGTCCATTGTTGTTGAAAACTCAGTTAAATAAACAAATATTCAACTTATTTTCATGTGGTTTTATTTTAGTCAAATCCTAAATCTTTTTTGCAAATATATATGGAGATTCTGTTCTGACCAATAAAATAGATGCATTGTCGCTTCATAACCACATGTGCTGGCAGAAATCATAAATCTTATTTTACAGATTGAGTGTCTAAGAGAGATAGAGAATGAGAGAGATTAAATGTATTGCCTAAGGTCACAAGCTAAAGCTGTCTCCTGGTAAGGTTGTTTAATTCTGCCTTTTGTTCCTGCAATCATTCAGTCCATTTTGATGCTGGAAACTGTGGAATCAGATTCTTTATCTCCTATACTACATCTTCAGGCAGTACGAGATTCTGACAGGTGACAAGACTACGTTTGAGGTGATAGCTGTCTTTCTTGGATAGTGCAAGAAAATAGGGAAAAAAGTGGAATTTTCATTTGATTACACAGGCAAATATGCAGGAAGTAGTACATAACAAAAAAAGTTTAACTTTGAAAATTAAAAAGGAAATAAAATTGTGTCCAATCAAATAATTCAAATGACTAAGCATCTTCAAACTTAGTATGCTTTATTATCAGTGGGTTATATGTAAAAGCTAACATTAAAATCTCAATACATACCTTTATATTTTGATAAAATTTTGCATGTTACACTTTGTGCCTATATTCTGTTGTGTCTTATAGGATGAATTGTAGCTGATAGATGCCTTAATATAACTTCAGAACAATCCAATCCAGGCTTTCCTATTTGAATGTACTATGCTTTCTAGCCAAAGAGCAAGTTCTCTTTAGCCAAAGAATAATAATGATGATGATTGTATCCCTACATATTTGTAACCCTTTGCATTTTACAAAGTACTTTTACATAATTTATCTTATTTGGCCACCATAGCCGCATGAGTTGCTTTTACGTTATTTCCATTCTAAAAACAGAAACTCTCAGGCACTCGGAGGTTAATTATCTTGCCCAAGACTTCCCAAGTAGTTCACTCTTCTTTACCGTGGAGAAAACAATTATTATTCAAATCTAAAAGACCATCAATATGAGAGCCACTCTTATTTTATACTTTGCTAAGAAAATAAATATTATAATTTTAAGACATTATCAATTTTACAGTATATCCCAATATCAGTGATGTTACAAATGTTTAAAAATGTATGTCTAAACCAGGTGCAATACACTGAGTTATTATGCACAACCCATATAGTATTCGTGCCGTTTACTACGAGACTTCTCTAGAAACTGATTTCAGTGGACCATTTCCCTCTCCTTGTAATTTATTCAGACTAATTCCCCAGGAATCTGGCACCTGCCATTCTCAGAACACTCTTCTCAATGGTTACCAATGTCCACAGAAATGAAGTTTTCTATATCTATAGGGTGGTAGGGAGAGACAGAAACTTGCAAAATTAAATCTCCAACTTTACCCTCATTATCTGGTTCTGTTTGCTTTATCCTGTCTCACATTTTCGACTATGTTGAATGGTCCTTTTTCATTCCAAACTCAATATTTTTAAAACTAAAGTCATCCCCTTTTTTAATAATAATATTAACAAGAACAAAAAGCAAATAAAATAACATAGCTCCTTTCTGACTTGTGTATCTTGTAAATGAGATAATATTTTCTCACTTGGTCTGTTTAGATGCCAACGGATAAATGATTTTATTAAAGACAATAAAAAGTGCTTCAAAGTGGATTTCTGAAAAGAAATTCCAATGGAGTCATTCTGGAAAACAAAACGTAGGCATTGATTTCTAAAAGGACATTTATTCTGGGTTTAGGTTTTCCCCAAAATTAGTCTTTTGGAATGTTTTATAATGTGTGAACATTATGTCTAGATGAATTAATACTGGATTTGGAGAAACATGGAAATGCCTCCCAATTGGTCTTAAGTCATAATTAAATAGGAGTAAGCAAATCTATTATAAACAAGTTTGCATTTTGTATTCCTATGTTGGTATATACTTATAGGTCACAGAAAAGTGACCTGATCTAGGTCCTCTTCCACCATGCATATTTTATATTTCACCAAACCATTTTTAATTATTTTTTGTCTTACTTATGATTTTGTGTATTTATTTTTTTCCTTTTAAAGTACCTGTTTCATAATGGCTGGTACCGTGGCTGTCTCAGTCACCTTTGTATCCCCAGAACCTAGAACAATGCCTGACATTTAAAAGGCATTCAAAACTCCATTGCATATTTCATTAAAACTCTAGTGTAAGAATAATTACTATAATGACTGAATAGAAAAAAAGAAAGAAAAAGAAACATCTTTATTACTCTCATATCTTCAATGTATTGTGAAAATGTTCATTACATTGTTGGTATTCAATACCAGTACATGGTGTATCCCTAGATGACTTGGAAATTTTGAGAGATAAATGAGATATTTTTCTTTCTGAGAACTCATCCTTGCTGATTAAAACCTGCAAAACGTGATTGGCAGTTTAACATTGGTAATATGCTTTCTTATGGTTCAGATAGCTATCACACCAGGAACTTGTTCAAAATTATCAAGTTTCTTTTACTCGAACTTTTAATATTATACGATATCTTCATTAAATTTTAAAGTTTAATATATGATACATCTGGATATTGCTGGATACACTTTTTTCTATTTATTAATTTTACTGGTAACATCAGTGTTCAGCAAATTAGGGTTTACTAAATAGAGTTACACTATATTAATAAGCCCAAATCTCTTGGTCCTGATGTTTAATTCATTGCTTTTATTAGTATGTTTCTAAGTAGAAGATTTAATTTATACATATTAGATTCTACCATAGTGTCTTGCTCGGAAAATCTTTCATTAACTCTATTCAGCAGCAATGAATTTTCACCAATTTATCACATGAAACCTCCCTGGACATTTTTACTTAGCTGATCATTTGAGAAATGTTCTCAAATATACCAAGAAAGAAAAAGACAAAACAAAACAAACAAAAAGCATTACCTTCTGTTAGAAAATTTAATTTTTCTGCTTTTAGGGAATCCAGTTAATTCACTTAAATCTTGTGTTTCCTAATACGTATTTAGAAATTTAGAGGCTTATAATTTAGCTTTTCCATTAAACATGATTATTTGCTGGAAGAACCTGTTCTGGGTGAATACAGGAACATGTGGTTTACATGGAATGGAAACTCTATGATCTCCTCTATGAAAGATCAGATTTTCACTTCTCATGAAATACTTCCATGGTGGCACATTTGCTCTCCCAGACCACCTAGTACTCTTATCACTCTAGTTTTAATATCTCCCTAGTATTGAGCTATAAAGAGGAAAAAATGACTTAAAACTTACTGCACTATTTGTTTCAAATCTTTGATGGTAACACATGTGTCACTTCTTTTAAAAGTGGGATATGAGAAGGAAGAAACAGTTTGTTACACAGAATGTACAAATTATAGAACAATTACCTGATGTATAAAACCAAAATACAGACCTTGCATACCAAGCTTAGCAAGGCCAGAGAGATTGATATTACTAATGACTACTATGACACTTCATTGATACATTGGCTATTGATTAAAACCCCACATTAGAAATATCCTTGACTCATTTTCCAAAGTTATGTTTAGCACATGCATTGGGGGTAGGGAATACTTAATGAGACCAAAGCCATGTGTGTGTGTGTGTGCACATGCACTATATATTTCTCTCATAACCCTCAAATGTACTCTTTCTGCTTTCTCTTACTGCTTTTTCCTCTCACTATTTATATGCATGCTCTATATTGAAGGTTCCTATAGGAAATCCAGGACAAAATTAGTGAAATGGTTTGGCTGTGTTCCGACCCAAATCTCATCTTGAATCGTAGTTCTCATAATCCCCACATGTCATGGGAGGGAGCCAGTGGGAGGTAACTGAATCATGGAGGTGGTTACCCCCATGCTGCTGTTCTCATGATAGTAAGTTCTCACGAGATCTGATGGTTTCATAAGGGGCTCCCCCCTTTCCTTGGCACTCATTCTCTTCCTGCCACCCTGTGAAGAGGTGCCTTCTACCATGACTGTAAGTTTCCTGAGGCCTCCCCAGCCATGTGGATCTGAGACTCAATTAAACCTTTTTTCTTTATAAATTACCCAGTCTCTGTTATGTCTTTATTAGGAGCATGAGAATGGGCTAATACAATCGGGAAGTGTCAAACACTGATCAATGTATTTTGAGCAGTTATTATACAATGATATGATGAAAATGGGACTGTATCCTCAAATGCTGTTAGCTCATAGAGGAGTTCTAATATGAATCGAATATGCGTATTAGACTCAGAATAAGTAAGTCCAATGGTGGCAGGAACTACAGTTATCTTGTTGGTGCCAACTACCCTACCTGGCTTATAGCCAATGGTAAGTATTGACAGAGAAAATGAAAGATGGCAAATATGAGATGAAAAATGGTTTGTTCCGATAGATTTGAAAGATCTTAAGTGTGATTATTATTTCAGTTCAGGAAAGCATTTATTGAACACATACTATTTGCTGCATTGAAACGTGCATTTATGAAGAAGAGTATGACGTCTTCATGAAATTTGCACTGTGTGGTGGAAGCAAATGCAAACATTTACCTTCACTTTATTTTTGTCAGAGCTATGACACAGAGATGAGATTGCCATAAATATAAGCAATACATTAAACCCAATCTAACTCATGTGGGGCATGGATAAACATGAAAATAAGGACAATGGGAGGGAGTGCTAGGAAAAAGTACCCTAGAAGAGTTTTTTTAAGTGAGATGTTAAGGAAGGGATTCCCTGACATTGAAATTTTAAACTGAAGCTGAAGGGTGAAGAAATGTCACTTACTCAAGAAAGCCTTCCCTAACATCTCCTTCATCCAAATGGGTAAACAGTCCCTATTTTTCCTAGTGCATGGTTTGTTTTCTTCCTTGGCTTTATAACAATTAATTTTTTAGACATGTCTACCTTCTTCACTAGACTGTAAGCTCCATGAAGGCATGGGCCATGTCAGTGTTATACATTATGTTATGCCCTGTACCTAGCAAAGAGTTGGTGCCCCACTAATACTATAGGCAGGTTGGAGGGATGTATAAAAGGAGGGAGGCAGGAAAGAAGAGGATAAAATTTGAGCAAAGGATCAAAAGAAATTCTTGGAGGAATTTGCCCAAGGTGGTAAGGAAACCCAAATCATGTCATAAAACCCATTGAGTCCTAAATCTAGAAACTTGGGGGAACTTCTCAAGACTATTCAAAGAAGAAAAAGGAAGCATACAAGTGTCTTGAAAAGAAGATTTGATTTGAAATTAAACTGATGAGTATAATCACATCCGTGTGGTTTGATCCATTAATTTACCATCTCTGCTTTTCCATATCTCCTTCTGGAGAATGGTGAAGCTTACACATCCTTGTCACAGTGGTGGGGACAATGACTGAGATGGCATGAAGGAAGTCCTGACACATGAAGGATTAGGCAGGAAGTGGTCTGTAAAAAGAGAATATGGGAGGATGACTACGTGGAAACCACAAGGAGAAAGATATTTGCATGTTATTAGAAAGAAACTTCTAGTAACCTGAGCTGCAATGATATACTGGGCTGCCTTAGGACACAGAGCCCTATCACTTGAAGTATTGGGGCGTTTTGGCTGGCAGACCAGTGAGGATATTTTAAAGTGGGTCATTTTAACAGTAGTAGTTGCCTAGATGATTCATAAAGTTTCTACCATCTCCTAAGACTGTATTGCTTTATCAACTTTTGATATCCATAATAACCATGGAATTACTATTCACATGAGCAATGTTCTATTTATCTAGGATGCCAACAACTGGAAAACTGAGCAGCAATTTTAGAGTAAAAATATTCAGGAACATAAGCCTAAAATTATAATTTGAAGTATCAAAGAAATGAAAGTCAATGTGGCATATTTTATATTTTATAGTATTCTAATAGTTAGAAGAATAATTTTGTTTTAATGAGAACACTCAAATGAACAGAGCAGTTCTTCCATTCCAGGTTCACAGGAATTTGGTGATTATAAACAGATTCCTAATATTTATATTTTAGAACTTAACACATTACAAGATGCGTTATGTTCCAAAGCTGATTATATGATGATAGAAATCAGACTTTAGATCATGTTTTCATAAATCTTATTTCACATGATTCAATGATGGTGGTTTATTTTTAATAACAACATCTAAACGTTTAACTTTGGCAAAAAAAATGCTTTCATTGGAGAAAACAGTTTATAAATATTCTTAAATGATTACATCACTTAAAGAATAATGAAATTTTTATTTATTTTCTTGAATGATAAAATCTTTTTTTTAGTTCTAAGTTTTAGCATCTGTGACAATAAAATTAAAAGAAAAGGGAGTGGGAGAGTCTAACCACTGAAATAAGTTACGGTAAAATAACGATCATTTTAAAATCAAGTACAACGCAAAGCTAGAATTACTAGAATTCTTTGTGTTATTACCTACTTAGGTATGCTATAGAGAATAACTATGAGTAATTGATATATATTTATGTTCCTAACAATTATGTAGACCTTTTCTAGATAGATGCCACGTCAGGTGATTTTCCTGCTTGTTAAAAATAGGTCATGACTTAATTTTCAATGACAGTTGTAAAATGACTAATTGCTGTAAAAGTAAATGATACACTAGTTTAAAGATACAATTTCAACTGTACTCTTAAACAACTTAAGAAAAATACTTTAAAATTCCGATAACTCCGTTCAAATAACATTACATTTATGAAACACAGCATTTTACTTTTATAGAATTGATAAGTAAATAAGACAAATGGAATAATATTTTGGTTTTTTATAATTAGAGTTATTAAGATGCTATATTTATCATAATTTAAAGAGTTTAACTTTTTGTCTAACTTGTGATTTTCTTTTTAAGTATTTCAACTTTTATTTCAGGTTTAGGGGTGTGTGTGCGGGTTTGTTGTATAGGTAAACTTGTGACTCAGGGTTTGGTGTACAGATTATTTCATCATCCAGGTACTGAGCATGATACCCAACAGTTTTTTAAGAAAGAATATTTTGAAGTTATGTTAAGGGGAATCAGGATTGAGGGAAAATATAGTTCTGAAAAATAATAAACTTTTAGTATTTGTTCTTTGACAAAATTAATTTTTTTTAAAGAGTAGAGATTTTTCCTACTAATTCTCATTCAGTTTTAAAGGGCAGTTATTCCCTGTTTTTCCAGAGACATAAAAAAATTAAAATAAAAGTGATTTTCTTGAACTTGTAACTGAACTTATAACTAGGGAATTTCCAATTAAAATAAGAAATAAGATTAGAATATTAAGAGTTATTACTAATCAGAGGAACATGCCAAGCATTTTTAAGGACAAATGACAGCTGATTCTACCATTGATGACATAAAATTCCAGGATAGTTTTAATTTTTCCCATGACTAATGAAAAATAACCAATCAAACAAACTACTGTGAAAAACCTAACAACATTGCAAGTTGGGACTTTTTGTTTGAATTCAAACTTTTATTTGCTTTCTCCATTCATATTTAGGAACACAAATTTAGTTTGTGTTCTTATTACTTTATAAAGGAGCCACTTCATTTTTAATGGCATGTGCCTGTGCCAAAATATAGCACAAACCATGCCACAACTCCCGGACCTACTATTAAAGTGACAAACTGCATTCTTTTGCACTCAGCTATCTCCAAGAAAAATCTTTCTTTTCCTGACAAAGACAAAAGGTTAGATTAGATATACAACATCAGTGGAGCATTATCTTGTCAACTGGCTGGAATACATTAATACAGGGAGGAACCCTTCAGTTAAAATTTTAAGGATGGTTGAAGGAAAATCTTTACACCTGCTATTTATATTACTCTTGCCACACGGAAAAAAGAAGAAGAATAAATCTTGGTGACTATTCTGAGGCATATTGGAAGAAATCCAATTTAATTAGGAAAAGACACTGCTAACTTGGGGGTTGGAAAAACAGAACTTTGAAACAAGTAATACACCATTATAAAACCCAGTTTGTGATTAATAAGCAATGAATTCTCCCCTGACAGATATGCACTGTTGGTTATTTATTGAAGTTTCTTAGTTTACACTCCACATGGCATTCTCGTCGTTTTTTAAAGTATAAAATTCTTTTCCTTGTTTATATCCATGTTCCTTCTCCTCTTAACAAGATAAATAACAGTGTACTTGAAATGTCTTCAGCTGCAAGTATTGGATAATTACCTCCATATTTGCCTTTTTCTCATTGTTTACTCTAAAAAGGAAGAACCAGAATAATTAATTCTGTCTGACCCAGAGACGTTCTTTGTAGGACATGGAAGTTCAACATGAAAAAAAAAAAATGTTGGAGACCAGGATGTATGAGTGAGTATAGCAGATCTGTATGTGGAAGACTTTCTTGAGTCTTCAGAAAGTTTGAGAACTGAGGCTCAAGCACAAAACTAAAGCATTGGTTTCTTAGCCATAAGTATTTGTTTACTTATGTATTTATCAATAATACTACTATGTGGTTCAAACTTCAAAAAGCATAAAAAGATATTCTCTGAAAAGACTTCCTTTTCTACTAGCTTTCTTCCAAGTGATATCCGTATCAATATTTTTCCGTTTTTGTCTTAAGATCTCTAGAGACTATGCATACAGCTCTAACCATAGCTATAGCACTCCATTATGATGTGGCTGCTTCGTTGATTAGTTCAGATTTTAGATGAGTGTAGTTATGTTTTAGAAGTCAAGATTTGATCTCTGATATTTTTTAAATGATTCTGTATTCTTGAAAGCATTGAACATTGGAATACAAAGAGATACAACCTTGCCCCTTGCATTTCTCAGACATTAGAGGCAAGTATTCATTTCTACATTAACTCACTTATTCATCCATTCAACAAATATTTGTTAAGCACAAGATGTGCTGGTGATTTAATGAGTAGTAATAATAAAACATAAGTGCCATTATCGAACGAATATATGAGACATTTGTGTTCTGGGTATAGAAAGTGTAGTTAGGGAAGTTCTGATGAAGGATGTGTGAATAAGCTGTGATAGGACCCAGTCAAATCCAGCATATTCTGGCAGAGAGTACAAGGTGTATAAAGGCACAGAGGCCAAAGAAAAGGCATTTTTGAAAAACTGAAATAAGTTCAATAAAGCTAAAATTTAGCTTGTGTTTTTTTTTTAATTATTTTACTTGAACATGAAGTAAATAAATGTACACTCTTCTGCCAACTGGCTAATGTAGAACCAAGCTTTTCCTTTCAGTGGGCTTATATGACAAGTGCTCTAAAGATGGCTTTCTTGTACATATCACATCCCTAAAACACTGGGTAAAATTTCAGAGTTGAGTTTTTTGAAGGTCAAGGGAGGATGATACTTGTGAAGTAATCTGAGTATAGAATTCTTCTAGATTAAAAAAAACACAAGATATTATGACAATGTTTAAATAATCTCAGAATTACAAAGTAACAAATATGTCACCTGGATTCAACAAATATCAATAATTTGGCACACCTATGACTACGGTTTGAATGTTTGAGTCTGTCTAATATTCATATGTTGAAATGTTGACCCCCATGGTCATATTACTAGGAAGTGGGGCCTTTGGAGTGTGATTAGATGATGAGGGTAGAGCCTTTATGATTGGGATTAGTGCCCCCATAAAAGACCACAGAGAGCTCCCTTGCCCCTTCCACCACATGACGATACCATGAGAAGGCGTCACTTGGGAGCCAGCAAACCGACCCTCACCAGATACCAAATCCACTGGAGCCTTGATCTTGAACTTTCTGGACTTCAGAACTGTGAGAAAAAAATTTCTGTTGTTTATAAGCTACCTAGTCTATAATAGTATCTTTATAGCAGCCCAATGGATGGAGACACTTATTTTTCTGATGTTTTTTGTTTTGTTTGTGGTTGAGTTGAAATAGTATTAATTTAAGCAAATCCTAGTCATGGAATTTTTGCCCTTTCCCCATAAAACTTTGAAAAGCTAAAAATAAATTGGTATTTAAATTTGGTATCTCCAAAAATATAAATATTTTCTTGGATATCACACTGATATTACATTAATTCCTTGATGTCAATAGTATTCAATCCATGTTCAATTGTTTGAGTGGAGAGAAAAGGTAGGTATTTCTGTTATTTAAAACAAAACAACAACCACAAAAAACAAAACCTTCTCTAGATTAATTAAACAAGATCCCCAAAGCACTGGCTTTAAGATAAAAACTCGATGTGTCTGCTTAAATAAAAACTTAAGAACGTCTCTTCAGTGAAGGAGATCACATTATTATCTAACATTTGCAACATCTGACACCACTAAGGCCTAAAACAAACAGACAAACAAATTTAAAAAAAAAAAACAGTTCTTTTCACTGGGGAACTTACACATCATCTTACTGATTTTCTATGAGGAGAAGTTTCTCATCAATGATGTAATTTCATTTGTTTCACGCAACCAACGTATGAAAGGAATAACTGAGACTTCTAGTATGGTATTAACATGGTTACTGTATATTTGATATTTTAATTGTTGATTTTGACCTTTCAGTAATGTAAAAATGGGAAGAGGCTAGAAAGAGAGCAAAGATTATATTAAAAGTGAGACATTAATAAAACAGAGAAAGACAAAATGACCTAGCAAAACATTTCCAGTGGAAATCCAGTTTGACTTGTACCTTAGCTCCTTTGCAGTACGTTTCCTATGATTAAATAATGAAATAGTGCTGACAGAAAAAATATACTGAAATCTTATTAAGCAGTTACTATGTGTCAAACACCAGTTAAGTGCATTATAAGGATTCTCCCATTTAAATTGCACACCAATTATGTGGGCGAGGTACTGCTATCCTTAACTTCTGGAAAGAAAAACCCTAGCTCATGTAGTTCATTAAAATTGACTGAGTTTTCATAACCAGCAAGAGGTAGACCAGTAAGAGAGTACAGATACCTGGTAATACTACATGCCTTTTTGTTTTTACTTTTTGTGATTATTGTTGTTTTAATAATTTATTTAATAATGTATTTATTTATCAATAATACTACGTGGTTCAAACTTCAAAAAGCATAAAAAGATATTCTCTGAAAAGACTTCTTTTTCTAATAGGTTTCTTGCAAGTTATATCTATATCAATATTTTTCCTTCTTTTCTCTTAAGATTCTCAGAGACTTGTGCACAAGCCTCTATACTATGCATGTGTGTCTGTATATTCTTTTTCCTCTTTGTTCTTATGCCAGTACTAACATATTCATCCTTTTATGCATCTTCCTAAAAATATATATCCAACATATATTTGGATGTCGGCACACTGCTTCCTAATTACTTTTTATAGCTACATAGTGTTCAATGAAATATATATTATATATATATATATAAAAACCATAATCCATTTAACCACACAGAGAGAAATTTGTTTCCAATCATTAAAAAAGCCAGTTACTTGTATTGTCTTGAATTGAGATGCATCCTTCATCAGGTATCCATGAGTGACTATGACAGCAGAGAGATAAATATCTGTAGTGTGGGTCAATTTCTCTGATATTGTTGCTAATGCTAACGTGGTTGCAATAGCATTAACTTGATTGGTATAATTTAATTGCATTGATGACTTCAATTAATGAGCTCTCCACATTGAAACTAGTTTGACCATGTAAATTGCTCCAGTCAATTGAGCCATAAAAAGAACCGATGCCAGCAGAGGTTTCACAAAGCTCTTGCATATTTATATTTCTTTGGGATACCTGCTATTGCCATAAGATCATGTCTGTGTTAGCCTACTAGAGGATGGGAAGCTGTGTGGGACGGAACAGAGTCATCCCAGCTGACATTATCCAAGACCAGTCAGCTTCTGACTGATCGACCAAGTGACCACAGATAAACGAGCAAGCCCAAGTTTCTCAGCCATGACAAGCAGATCCACAGAAGCAACCAACCGATGTATACAATTGTAAGGGGAAAAAAGGACACTAAGTTTTGGGTGACTAGCAAGAGCAAGAGCCAACTAATACAGCACATCCAGACTAGTATTTGAACTAATCCCTATTTCATTCAGGTAACCCATTCTGTCTGCTCTAACCCATATTTAATCCCTGTATAGCTTGAATTGTTCAGAAAAATGTGTAACAAATATGTATTTCTTTTGTTTAAAAAGTCATCTACCTGAAAAAGTAAATTCGTTTTAATTTGGCCTTCAGCATAACGAATCTACTTCAAGCAATTCCAGTGTTGTTAATAAAACTTCATCTTTACGCCGTCATCCCATTTTATTATGGGATAAATGAATAATCATCACAACTAAAGAAAGAGAAACTCTTTTAAGAAGTGTGTGAGAAACACTACCATGAATCATTTAGTTTTTTCATTAATAACAATGAAGAATGCATGTATGAAAAACAAGAGGAGCTATCGAGTTTTTGAACAATTGGGTCTGCTCCAGTTAGTAATGCTTAGCTCCTTGATGATGCTTGAGAGAAAACTTGAGAGATATTTGTGAATTACTTACAGTGAAATGATCCAGAAGTTTTGAATTTGAAAGGGATTATAGAAGGATATTATGGATCTGAAGAAATGAAATCACAGGAGAAAGAATTTTGGCAAACAATCTCAATTATTAGGTTGGTGCAAACGTAATTGCAGTTTTTGCCATTACTTTCAGTACTTACATTGTAGGAAGATTCTTTATAACAGTTATGCTTAAGTGCTAAAGTTATACTCTCTCAAAACATGGTAAAAGCTGAAAAGTACAAAATATACATGTATACAAATCCATCAAATATCCATACAATTTAAAACAGCATATGGATCCTTGGTCCATCCATAGACAGAACCCAGAACAATAATCTGCCCCTGATAAAGATGCCTTACTAGAGAGGAGTGTATCTAACTCCCATTCTTTTATGATTTTCAGCTTTTGAATAGCATGAAAACATGGAAACATGTACATTTTTTCTGGAGTTATAAAAATCATAGTGCATGCAAACAGACTTTAAATGGAAGGAAAATGTGCTTTTCATATCTTTTCGTTAGTTGCTTAGTGTTCTCATGGTTTTACGATCCTGATATTTGGAATAGACATGTTATATTCATGTATCCCTACTTTTTCACTCAACGCCTTAACTATCGCCAAAAGGGAACTATGGACATCATATAATTTTCCAAGAATCAGATTAAATAACATGAAAAATGCCTTCTACAATACTATTAAAGACTGAAATGTGAAAGAATTTCATATTTCATATTTTATGAAGAATAAGCTGATCTCAGTTTTCTAAGGTTTGTCAAAGATTGAGGTCTCATGAATTTGAATTCATTTAATATCTTTTAAGATTTCACATTCGAAATAAGATGAGTGTGTGTGTTTCTTATATGTTAAGGGGTCAGATAATCTTATTTCTTTGTGAATCATTGACCTAATCAATCAATCAGTCTGTTCCATTAAACACTAAAAACCAGTCACACTATTCAAAGACAGCCTAATAATAAGTTTTGTGGACATTGATATTCAAGGCACTGAGTGCTGCAAGTATTTCACGTACTCCCATTCAATTCTCACTTTAAATTATAAGGTAAGTCCAATTATTAATCCTATATTAAAAAGGAAGAAACTGAAGCCTGCCGATTGTTAAACAGTGAGTCAAACCCAGAACTCCAAGCCTATTTTCTGAAAGTTTTTTTGAGAGATTCTTGTCTTGAATAATGGCTATTAGGTCTGAAATGAATTTCTGTTGGAGAACCAGGCAAAGGTTAGAGATGAAGGGTGCTTTAGCGCTATCATCTTTCAAACTATAGCTGAGATACAACTTAAGCTCATGCATCCACCAAGACTAGGTAGGGAAGGGCCTCTGTAACATCTGGCATTTGGGCTATTTTACCACTCACCAGTGTATTGACATGATCTGTTTTCAGATTTCCAATAATTTACTCAACACTGGGTGATGCATAAATGTAACTTACCATGGGCTAACAGTCACTGTGCTAAATGATTGTCAATTATTATATTGTGCAAAGGATTTTTACTTTGCATATAACAGGTGCTCACGTTTGTTGGACCCGAAAACTTGTTATGAAAGTTTATACAACATGACGTTTGGGACATGTAGGATTTAAATTGGCAAGATGCACAGAGTAGTTCAAGAACATGCCACCTGCAAAATTCTTAGAAAGAAATTCATGGATATAGACAGTTTCCTAAAAAGTAGCTTGAAAAATCACACCTTTCCCAGTCCAATCATATTTTATATTGATTTACATTATCTACTCAGAGCTCTTAGTCTTCATTGTAGATTGATCTTCAGTTAGTTCAGTCTTCCTTTAACTGAACTTCTCTGCTACTTCCTCTTCCAATCTGCCTGCCTCATCCTGAATAGCTAGTGATCTAAAGCAACCACTATCCAAAAAAATTCCACCACTGGTACGACTAATATATATATATATATATATACACAATTATATATAATATATACAATGTATACAATTTATATATTATATATTATATAAAAATTATATATACACACACATATATATATAAAAAATTTAGTGTCTAATCGAAAAAATTGACCACTGCTTTTTTTCTAATACATGATATTTAAATTTTCCATGTCAACTTTAAGAGGAGAAATGTACCCCTTTTTCATTTTGGGAAAAAAACGTATTATAGAATAATCACAGTATTGGATTATGTATTGCAGAAACTATGAATCAACATTTTTTTTAATGATGAGTTTAATTTAACTTCAAATTAATTTCCACACCCTTTTCATTAGTTTCCCTTCTTTCACATGGAAAGTTTTATTGATTCACAGGGAATTAATTTTTAGCCCAGAAAAGTAATAAAAGGTATGACTTTGGAGTCAGGCTGACCTAGGTTCAAATCCAAGGTCAGCACTCATTATATTTGTATCTTTGGGCAAATTATTAAACTTCTGGGCCTCTAACCTTAATTATTAAAGCGGTGACAAGAATAACTCACAGAATTATTAAGAGGATGGAAAACAATATGTTAAACCACTTAACCCAATGTCTAGTATATTGTAGCTGTGTTTATTACTATTTTTTTCATTATTTATTGCATTAGTAAGTAAATACTCATGTATTTACTCGTATTTCTGATTCAGGCTTTACTGTCTAAAGAAGATTGCTGACTTTCAGCAGGAAAATGAAAAAATTACCTTACAGCCATATATTTGCTAGATTTAAAATATATTTTTTAATAAATAATGGAACTTGGCTGAATAATACCAAAATGAAATCTAACAATAGGATGTTGGTTTTATTTATAACAACCCAAGGAAGTTGTGATTCACTCTGTCATCTCAAGCTCTGCATTTGATAGGATTATCATTAGAATTTATGGTGTTCGTGGGAACGAGACTCAGACAGTTGGAAGGTAAGTGTGGAAAATGCCTTAAATATGAATTCACTATAAATCATGAGAAGTACACTGGTACTAAAAGAAATAATATGTGTCAGAGAATAATTACATCAACAAGTTTGTAAATTGCCTAGAAAGTTGACAAATGGTTCTGATTTTCAAAGCAAACTAATGACACTGGAAATGTGTCTCTTCCACACGCCAGCTATACTGCGTAACACATTACAAATATACATCTATATATTATATATCCCTACACACATTTATAAAAATGTGAACCCCATCTAAATAAACAATGTTACTCTATGCATCAATCAAGTTTTACTTTCTATTAGTTTTTTTCATCTAATTAGTCACACAATCTGTCCATAGTTTACTCTTCTAAGGTAAACTCACAAATAGTTGATTCTGCCACCTCTCCCTTATATGAGCTATAATTAGTTTGGTATTTTCCCAACAGTATGGTTTCCAAAGGCCAGGATGGCAGGTGTTGGATATAATAATTCCTGTACTTTGAGGTTAGATGAATACAAAGCTGGAAGAAAAAAACTCAAGTCTTCTAATAGAAATTTATTGTGCCAGTTTCTCACCAGTCAGATTGTCAATCACATCTCATTAGTTTCCTAATTAAACTGTAAATGCAATACATACATACAGATCATATTTTCAAGCTACTAAAATATAATATTCATTTTCCAAAAGGCTAATTACTAAACCTAATAAAATATAATTCTATAACTGTAATGATTCAAACTTGCCAGCAGAAACCGAACAATAAACAAAGTGTACTGAAGAGTAACATTGTTATTCTTGCGAGATTTTTTTAATCAATCAGATTTCAATGATCATTTTAATGATGAACCAAGCATCAACTACGATAAATAAATAGCAAATAAAATCAAACGACTATCTTTTGCCTACTCAGCCTTCTTTTTACCGCTTCTTTTTGATTATCCTTAAGAAAGCAGAATGATTTTTTTTAATTCAAAGCAAGACAGAATTAAATACGAATGCCCAGTGAAGACTGTGATAAAATTTTCAAGTCTATAGGCACAAAAGCTCTTTCTACAGTATCCTTGCAGTATGATTTCTTAAGTGGGAGATCGCTTGACTTGACAATGGTTCATAAAAGTATTTTGATCAATGGAAACACCGCAATGAGAAAATGCTTCCTGGCACTTAGAAAAAAAGTCAGCATTCATTTCTTTGCACATGTAGGGAACACTACCAGAGGCAGAAAAAAAAAGTAACTTTTATTTTTCCTGAGTGAAATACAAAAAAAAAAGCAGTTATATGGAATAGACTTTGTACTTGTTTGTACTGGAATTTTACATAGGGAAAAGGTGAGATACTTATCAGATGGATTGCATTTAGTGTTACATGTAGAGGAAGAGGAAGAATGCATAATTACTTTCTAAATTAGAGTAACAGATAAGGCAATTGGAAGGTGAATATGGAGAGAGATTTAGCATTGAGGTCAGCAAGGGACTCTTATAAAAAGCCCTGAAAACCACAGTTACTAAGAATCTGTGAAGGGCCTGGATGTCAGTGATCCCATTCAGGCAAAATGAAGTTAAGTTTGCAGACTTGGGAGAAAAAAATGATCTAGAAGAAAACGCACATGATTTAGCATTGTAATCTCTACACATTGATTGCCACTTTGCATAAACCAAATAAATATTACTTTCATAAAGTTTGGTATTAATTTCACAGAATTCAAAACGCAGATATACTTTACCTTACACCAAAGTCAGGATCCTCTAAAGTGGCAATTAAATCATGTTTTATAATTACACACAGTGGTATTTCAAGGCTGATTTGAACTTTTTAATGACGGCTTTGTGCTATCTTATTTGAAATAGTCGATTGTTGCAATTCATTAACTGTTTTTATTTGTTGTCACGGATTTTAAAGTCAACTTTTAATTTGAGAACAGATTTAGATTTACAGTAACATTGTGAACCTAGTACAGAGAGTTCCCCTATACTCCACACCCAATTCCACCTGTTTCTAATATCTTACTTTACTGTGGTTCATTTGTCACAATATCAATTGTGACTAATATCGATACATTACCATCGGCTAACATCCATCAGAATTCCTTAGTTTTAACCTAATGGCCTTGTTCTACTCGAGGACCCCGCCCAGGATACCACATCTCATTTATTAGCCATCTCTCCTTAGGCGTCTGTTGACTATGACAGTTTCTCAGACTTCTCTTGATTTTGATGACCGACAGTATTAAGGACTGCTAACCAGATGTTTTGTAGAATATCCTCAACTGAGACTTCTCTGATTTTTTTTCCATAATTAGACAGAAGTTATGGGTTGTGGGGAGGAGGACCACACAGGTAATGTGCCATGCTCATCACATTGTGTCAAGAGTACATACTCCTCACATGACTAATCACTTGACCAAGTGTTCACAAGTGCCCATTTCTTATCCTCTGCTTTGCCTTGACTAGACCCTAGGCCTTGACTAGACCATAGATCTCTCCTCTCCACAGATCCATGAACTTTGTTTCTTTCAAGCCTGGGCAAACATTAATTGCAGAACATGCCTCCCTTATCAGTTTATCCTGAGAATCAACTTACTACAGCAAGAGGCATTTCCTGTCTTACCATGCTGGTCACTCTTCTCCCCTGCTTGACCAATGTATTAGTTTGCTAGGGTTGTCATAACAAAAACACCACAGACTGGGTGACTTAAACAACAAAGTTTATCTTCTCACGGTACTGGTGGGGAGAAGTCCAAGATCAAGGTGTCAGGTCTCTCTCCTTGGCTTGCAGGTGGCTGTCTTTTCGCTGTCCTCACCGTGTCTTTTCTTTGCATGCGTGCATCCCTGGCATCTCTCTACATCCACATTTTCTCTTCTCACAAGAACGCCAGTCAGATTGGATGAGGGCTCAGCCCTACGCCTTCATTTAACCTAATTACCTCTTTAAAGGCCCTATCTCCAAATACAGTCACATTCTCAGGTACTGTAGTCCCACCTAATCCACAGTTTCAGTTTATGGGGTTCTAGTTACCAAGATAACTTTGGTCCAAAAATAAGTGGGTATAGCACAATAACATATGTTGTTGTTGTTGCTGTTTTCTGAGACAGAGTCTCGCTCTGTTGGCCAGGCTGCAGTGCAGTGGCAGGATCTCAGCTCACTGCAACCTCTATCTCCTGGGCTCAAGCAATTCTCCTGCCTCAGCCTCCCCAGTAGCTGGGATTACAGGTGCCTGCCACCGCACCCAAATAATTTATATATTTTTAGTAGAGATGGAGTTTCACCTTTGGCCAGGCTGGTCTTGAACTCCTGACCTCAAGTGATCTGCCCGCCTCGGCCTCCCAAAGTGCTGGGATTACAGGTGTGAGCCACCACACCTGGCCCACAATAACATATTTTGAGAGAGACAGTGACCACATTCACATAACTTTTGTTACAGTACAATGTTATGATTGTTCTAATATTATTGTTGCTAAATCTCTTATTGTGCCTAATTTATACATTAAACTTGATCACAGTTATGCATGAGTAGAAAATACAGAATGTATATAGGGTTTGTACTATCTGGTATCTACTTAAAGTATCTACTGTCGGTCTTGGAATGTATCCCCTACAGTTAAAGGGAGACTACTGTCCCGGGGATGAGGATTTTAAGATGTGAATACGGTGGCACAATTCAGCTCATAGCACACAATTTGCTTTTATATACTGCTTATCCCTTCTTACTCTATTAAAGAAGAGCCTTTTACTGTTAAATTTTGAGACACTTGCAGATTTCTGAGATCAGAGCTATCTACCTGTTACAATAGTCTTTTTGAATAAAGTTTCTCTTTCTCTGAGGAGTCCAGATTTGTTTTTATTGGATACACTTTTGATGTTGATTGTCACCACGTGAGTGAGGTAACATCTGTCAGATTTTGCCACTATAAAACCCCTGTTCCTCCTGCCCCTTTTTAATAGTGAAGCCTATGGAAAGCAGTCAGTAAAAGCATCCAACACTGAAGGAGTGGAGAATTATGCCCCATGTTCGTTAGAGCAGTGTATTTGCATGAATTATCTGCAATTTTTTTTTTTTGCATGGGAGATTCATCTACTCTCCCATTTACTTTTTTCAAGCATTTATTTATATCAGTATGGAATCACGGATATTTATTTATATTTTAAGTTATATTCTGAAGCTGCTTTACTTTATTGCTCTATAATTGATTTTTCAACCACATTTTAAGCCATCACTCAGTTGATTGACGTACATTCATGAATCTTAGCCAAACGTCATTCTGTAATTCATCTGAATATTTGATAAATCCAGGCGTGACCTGCAACTCCAACTGCTTATCTCCACGATTGCCTTAAACCAAAGTAATAGTGCAGGAAATCCAAAGGTAACTAACTGGTTCTTGTTTCTTAACACAGTGACAACTGAGAACTTTGGATGCTGTCACCTCGTTAATATCAGCACCGAGTACTAGCAGGTAATAGTGCTCCATCTAGTTTAGTTAAGCAAAATGTAGATGTTAAGTAGCTGTTCACTCAAACAGCTTAAAAACCCTTTAAACCTTCTACAAGCAAAAAACTCTGATAATAATGATCAAGAACAGCAGAACCATATAACCTTTCTTCCCAAAAAAGAGCAAAGAAAGCTAAACACGCACAAGGATTTGCTAACCAAATCGTAGCAAGCCCTGAAATACACAAGTAACTGTTGTATGATACGATTAAAAAAAACTTAGTGCATGTGTCTCATACTGTTCTAGGTACTTATTCACTTTAAATGGAGTTTCAGCAAATTTAAGAAAGTTAAGAATTAATTTTAAAAATTAAATCTTCTTTGTGCCCTCTTATAATTCCTTTTGTTATTTTAAATTTTGCTAGAAGTAGACAAACCTTGAATTTTGTCAAATGTAGATATCTATTACGGCCTTTGGACTCCCCCTGAGTAAGTCAGTAAGTCTTAGAGTTTCTATATGGACATATTTGTTTATATATCTGTTTACCTACATATTTATTTAAACCAAAAAAAAAATACATGCACACAACTCTAGACTAAGAAATGAGGAATGTTTATGAGAAATGAAGGCTTGTAAGGCTTGACCTCCATTATTTATGTAGAGTGGACTATAGATTGTCAGATTTAAATCAGGGAACTAATTAGGCAAGTGTTTAGAGATTCCACCATAAAAAAGTGTATTTTAAATATAATTTTAAGCAGATGGACATTGTAGTTTAAATGTCTAACATATCTGTAAATTCTATATAATTTTAAAAGTGACCTTATAGAATGAATTGGAGTGATTTGGTTAATAATAACATAATAATCAGCATTCTTGATTTCCAAAGAAATTCAAGTGGGAATATTTAAGTTGAAGATGATTGGCATTGACTCAATTACTTTGACCCTAACTGAAGAAATATGATAAACACAGTGTTGCAATATACATTGCACAGATGGCACCAGTTTTAAAATCTTGCTTATGTTTGAGGGAACAGTAACTCTTTGGCCAGTGAACCAGGCTGACTTAAATATAGCAAGCAAATCCTTTGTTTTTGGCTAGAGGCACTAAGCCCCAAGGAGAACCTATTTTCATTTTTACGACAGGACATGCACTGATATTTTGACATTTCCATGATTTAGACAATTTGGTTGAAAATAACCACTTCATAAATTCTGGGAATGATAAGGAAAATTGTTATCCGTTCAGTTTCAGCATTTTTACAAGGCTATATATATTTCAAACTTGTCAAATAAATAGACAAGAAAAAGAGAAAAGAAAATGAGCATAGTTGGAAGCAAGGATTAATTACTGAAGTTGATTAACTTAGTTGTAAATTTTTAATACCCTTTAGATCTTATATTCCTACGATTGCTTCCTTTTTGTTTTTCTACTGGGTATTATGTGCATTGTTAACTTCCACTTAGTAGTATGCAGATTCCTAGAATAAAATAGTAGATATTACATCTCAGTGGTTATAGGATTTGGGAGACACATAGAACTGTCTTTCAATTCTGGCTCTGATTTTTTTAAGTCAGGTGAGCCCTTGAGCAGGATGTTTAATCTAAACAAGTCTATTTACTGATTTTTAAATACGGATACTAATTTTGACTTCACACAGTTTTTGTAATTGGATAACATGTATTATCTAGTGTCTAGAGTAGCATATGGTTAAACAATCAGTATTGGTAGCAGTAACATCAGACACAGTAGGAATAATTATTAGTTACAAAAGTTCCCTTTGATCAGGCAATATTTTTCTCATTACACTTTGATCAAGGGCCTATATATGCCAATGTTTTGAAAGTGGGAGTGAGCAGTTGAATATGTTTGACTTCTTCTCCCCCTACCTCTAATACTTATTATGCTAGCAATAAGGAAGACTATTTTGTATCTGTTATGTTAGTCACACAACTTTAACCCTTGTATGGAGTTTTGTGGTACATGTGGTAAATGTGTTTATACTTGTTCCCATCTTTGCAAGATATTCCCTCAATAGTTCAAGTAGAGTGGCCCATAGATTGAACTAAAATGGATTTGAATCCGTGGACTCTTTCAGTCTGTAAGATTTTGATTCTTTTGACATGACCCTCATGCAACCAGAATACTTTCTTTCCCATCCAGGTAGAAACAAACAGCATGCATTCTTCACTGATACTGGGAGTTTCTTTTGATTATTTCAACCTTACCGTTTTGGCTTGGTGACAGTATTATGACTAGAGGGAAAGTTATTGAGTGGTTTGGGAGATCTGATTACAACATGCATAATAAATTTTGAAGTAAGAAAATGCTGAAGATGGGTTTTCCTACCCTTGTTCAGACTCTTGGAAATGTGACTTATAAAAGGAGGATTGAAAGAAAAAGGAAAATATGAAGCAATGAAATGCATGATTTTAAAGAACTCAATTATGGAGGAGTCCCAGAAGAGTTGCCTCTGGTTCATAAATCTGTCTGCTGTTTTCACTGTTCCAGCATGTACCACTTGCTTTTGTTTTATCTGTCTGGATAAATTAGCCAGCACAGAATCATAAATATCCTTAGTTAGCAAGTGTTGCTTTCCTTAGGGAAAAGTTCTCTTTCTGATGTTCTTGTTAGTTTGAGGTTTGAATTAACTGTTAAGAAATCAAAACAATTGTTATTATTCCTGTAATCACCTTTTGTTTCATTATGCCTTAATCACTGTAAATTACTAGAGGAATTAATCATTTTAAACACTTTGAACCCTGAAACTTCCAGACCAGACCAATGATACCATTCAAAATTTCTTTAAAATAAGGTTACCAAGCAAACCATATTTCTTATTCACATAATATTGTCATATCTATTATCTATCCTTTTACATATATATTAAAACTTTTGTAAGAATTTATTGACTCTACCAGATGTGCTACATTGATGGGGCGGAGAATGCATTTTCATTTGAACAAGGAATTTACACAGCCAACTGTGGTTTCTTACCATTTTTATGCACTTCACAGCCTGCGTTCTAATTTTAAATTAGGGTTCTGATGTGTGTATTTATACATAGCCATTCTTGAATCAACCTGTAACTGTAAGCCTTTGGGGAGTGATTGCGTTTGAACATCTGGACTCACCACATGTTTTCAGTTGGAACTGAAACATCATTTAGAAGACCTGGGTTTTTAAAGGGAAGATATGGTGATGACATTCTATAGGTGCTCCAGATGATAAGAAATGTATTCTTAACATATGATTTAGAATTTATTGCAGCAAATAGGGCTGTAAAAATGCTATTTTAGACTGAAGTAGTTTTACTAAAAAGCTTGCCATATTTCCTTCCCTTGCTTCACACAATTAAATATTCTGATTATTGTTTGAACAAAATAATAAACTGAATTATAGGACAACTTATAATATTTCCTGTGAAAAATTAATGAATATTTATATTGCAAAAAAAGAATCTTTGAGATAATATCAATTTGAAAGTACCTAAATTCATACTTCGTGTTTATTAAACACATTGAAAATTACATACTCTCTTTTGAGGTGTTAATATAATCTCTTTTAATCACAAGTAGAAATTTGCCTTCTTTATATAATTGCCTAATGTTTAGTATTTTTAAAATAATACTTAAAAGAGAATATAGATCCCAGTCTTCTCTTGCAGGAACTGAATTAACTTCTTTATTGGAACCCTATGGTTTGTATTTACAATGTATATATCTGTCAGCAGAAACTAATTAATTGGAAGCTGTTACCTTCTAAGAGCAACCTTAAAGCATGTAATATTTGCCTGTGCAGATTAAAGAAAAACACTGGAAGCTAATTTGAACAGAACTTTTCTGAAATGTCAGGAACCCTTTAATCTAATAAAGAAAGTTCACATAAGGGAAGACTCTTTAATCTCTGACTTTTCATACAGTACAAAACTAACAATTTAACCTTTCTCCATATGAGCATGTTCCTTTGCTGTTATGTATCCTACTATTATAATCACATTAGAACTAATGTATAAGCTAAGATGGTGTTGCCATTTTGCATTTACATGGTTTTAGGAAAGTAAATGAATGGATGCTATGTTTTAAAATTAGGATTGTTTCCATTTGTAAGTTCACACATATACTCCTGTAATTGTGGTTGCAAACAAACCTCACTTTGCCTGGTGGTTAGATTTCTAACTAGTTGTGAATCAATGTTTTTAGTAAAATTAATGGTATTTAATGCATTTCAATAAAGTTGTTCTTTAAAAACCACTTTGACTAGCTTTCTGGGAAAAATACGTCTTAAGATAATAATAAACTTTTCAAGTTAGCATTTTATGGAATAAACAGGTTTTACTATCCCAGCACTCCTTGAAGTAGGATACACCTATTACTATATTTTTAAAGATGATTGTATAATTGTGTATTGAAATATTATTAATTATTTCATAAAAACAATACAGAGATCAAATAGTTTTGCCCTTCAAAGTTTATGGCTATTTCAGTCTTTTGAAATATGACCTTTAAAATGTATACTGCAACTGACTTCAAAACAGCCAATCAGCATTTTACAATTATGATAATTCTTAACTTACTTGAACAGGCTATTGTATTTTACTTGTAGATAACTTAAAATACAACAATTATTTCAGTCCAAAAAATTCTTCCTAAGGGTCAGTGTTGACTGGTGCCTACAGGCAGCATGAGGAAGCTGTTTCTTGCCAGTTCTATGTCACTGAGATCAGCAAGAAGCTTTGACTTCCAGGATCCACACCACAGTCTAAGAAGATATTTAAGTGAAGTAACTGAGCCAGAAAACTAGCTGGAGGTCTCTCATTACTTATTCTTGCTTGTTATTTCAGAATTTTTAGTTGTAGCTATTTCTATTCATGCTTCAATATTAATATCATCATGAAAAAGGACTGGAGATTACAGTCTTTTTTTTACATTGTTGAGACTTTCAAAGGAACTGTTCGTGATTCCAGTGAAAGACT
Organism: Homo sapiens; assembly: GCF_000001405.40. Lineage (NCBI taxonomy): Eukaryota > Metazoa > Chordata > Mammalia > Primates > Hominidae > Homo > Homo sapiens. Next base: position 164,300,066 of record NC_000005.10, on the reverse strand, counting down.
CACGTAATACCCCCAGAAATATAAAAATAAAATTCCTGTTGAAAATCAAGAAGAAACATTTCAGTAGACCAATACCACATCAATGAAAACAAAATCTATTTCAACAAATTATAAATAATTGATGCAGTATGCTTGCAGAGGACAGAGTTTATATCCCCTCAGATAGCAAGGAAATGAAATATTTTGTTTTTAACTTTTGTTACATCATCCAAAGCCTCAAAACTAACTTAACCAAATTCCACCTTAGCTAATACGTTCTGCATCACATGAAAACTCCCCCATGTCAAAAAGAGTATTACAATAACTATATTATCTAATCTGACATTACTAAAGATCCAGATAAGTTTACAACTTCTGATCTAGTTCAAACATAAAGTGACATTGAAAGAAAAGTTTTCCAAACTTTCTCTAGTAGAAAAGTTGAAATTCTAAAGAAATTGAGAGGAGGGACATATTCTTGCCAAAATATATCAGGTAATTGTTGAAAAAATACTTAAAAGTGTTATTAATGAGATGACTACTCCAATAATTTTTAAAAGGTTCTGTCTAAAACAGTTTACAACTCCAAGACCCTGAAAATCATAGTAATAATGAATTTACTCTTATAAGACATTTGTAAAGTTCTAACAGTTGGAAAAACTAGAAAGTTTGGAGAAACAAACATAATACTGAATGTTATAAATCATTAAACAATGCATATTGCTTTAATGTGTATAAATATAAAGTTAGTGCTTTTGTAGTATATCCAAGAAGAAAATCTAGAATATGTCTCTTTTTGGAGAAATGAGATGACTGGTCTGAACGATTTTTAGTAAGTAATTTTAAAACTAATGTTGAAAAGTTTCAAAACAAAGCACATATACTATTGTGTTGAGTATACGCATTCCTTAGGAAGAAAGGAAAACATATAAATCATATGAATAAAGAATATGAATATTAATAAACTTTGAAATAGTTTGTCAGTGACTTTTCTAACTTTATAACTTCAATAAATATTTCATGCAAGATACAATTTCAGTAATTGTATATTCAAATTTATTAACTAAGTAAAAAGAACATTTATTTTTGCACCTCATATGTGGCCACTGGGATTTCATTCATGTTGGATAAATACTATTCTTGATACCTTGTTTCCTTATCAGTCATAAAAGAAAGAGTATAGAGTTTATGTTTACTGAAAATATTCTTCCTTTTACAGACTGTAAAACTTCTCTTTTCTATTTTCATTCCCTTTCATCTTCTGAGTAATTTCGCATATTGACATATATTTCACATCAACATTTTCTTGCTTTTTTTTGGTGTACCCTAGGAGAGACTCTCAAATTAATTTTTTACATTCATGCCAGTTACTAACTTTCAAAAACTCCTAAAAAAAAGTCACTGTAGTAATAATTCATTCCTCCTTTAATTTTCACACCCTCAGTCAAATGAATATTTTACATACATTCCCCAAGGACTTAAACCTTTTGTAAGTGAAATTGGAAATGAAATAAGTCATGCACAAGAACAAGAATCACAAGTCTTCCAATGAATTATGTATTTTTAAATGCAAATGGTTCTATTTTCACAATACTTCACTGTTAAACATGTGCTCTGCTAGGAGCTGCTTTAATCTTATGCTACATATTTTATTGTATGTCAAAGTTAAAGCCATTAGCTATCCAAGGGTCAATCTAATGATGCCCAATTATCAGCAATTAAATAGTTCAGGTGTAGGAATTCAAATAGGAGCAGCTCTTATATAAAATACGGTTAATAGAAAGAACACCTCAGACACACATGGATAGAAAAATATATATATTAGATCGGGTAAATTTAAGCAAAAATGTCAAGGAAAGAAGACTTTATTATTAAATCTTCCTAGCTTTTAGCTTTGATCACAGACAACAATGTAATTTTACTTCCAAGTCATTGGGACCCTGAATGGGACAGCAGAATCAATCCAAGTTACAAGTGACTAATACTATGAGATGCTCTTATCAAAACAGAGCAGAGGAAAATTGTACAAGCCTCTTGATAATATTACTCCTATATCTCTATAGACATTCAACACATTATTAATATGTTTCTGTGATTACAGTTTTCCCAGCTATATCAACAACTCCGAGTGACCTCACCTGAAAGCTAATTTTATTTTGTAAAAACTGACAAGTGAAGATGGAGACCAGTTATAAAAACAAAGGTAATTTTGTAATTTTTATGTAAAGCAAACTCGAGACTCAATGATATCATACAGCATGTGAATTATCACCATCCTTGCATTTTCTCTTAGTCTTACAAATATTTCACATGTTCATGCTACCTATTGATGATATATGTATGTACACAAGATAACACCTTCTCAGTAAAGGCTAGAACAGCACATCTTTCTGACTGAGTAGATTACACCACATGGTAATGATGTGATCAAACTCCACAAGTTATGTGCCTCATCATTAGTTTCCCCAAACTATGAGGTTTAAAAAAAAAAAAAAAGCCACTAAACATATACACAGCACAGCACTGTAGCAAGAGAATAATTTTGGCTTATCCAAATGATAGTGAATAATTCAGTACATTTAGAAAAAAAAAATATATATATATATTATGAAATGCATCCCAGATCCCAGTTTAAGTTCAAGTTCCCAACTGTGAACTCAGAGCTCATGGAAATACAATTATGTAGATTCCTCTTAGCAAAGATTTAGTAGTGGTTCCTTCATTTAACAGCAGTTTTTTCTTAGTGAAATTATTTACTTGAAGAGAGGCTAATATGAAGGGAAAAAGGCAGTTCAACATAGACCAGGCACAATATAAAAAAAGTATTCATAGTTTAAAGTGTGTTAAAGTGTAATGATGTCACAAATAGACAAATCTTAACTGCGTCTTACCTGTAGTAGCAGAGTGTCTTGATACTGTTGAGTGTCGAAAAGATGCAAGTCTCTAAATTAGAAAACAAGGGGCTGTTTGCGCTCCCAGTTTCAGCACAGCCAGTGTTCTATGCGTAAGTAATAAATTGCCTCGTCAAAGTCGTCCCAGCCACGGTGTTCATAGGCAATAGTTAGAATCACTGCCCGAAGTCTTGCTTGATGCTGCTCCCACAGCCTCTGCCTTTGCACAGAGACCTAATGTAGGAGTGAGCCGGAGAACATCCTCTTCGCCCCCCTCTCTCCCCCTCCCTTTTGCGTGGTCTTTCTTCCTCTGTAGCTCACTCTCTCTCACGAATGGAGAGTTATCCTTTGGTTCATTCGGCAGTCAAAGAGGACAGGCTGGCAGGCAACAGTGCAGCTGCCCCCATGCTGAGGCACATGAATGTGTTGTGAATAAAGACAAAGCCCTGAACCAGTGCAGCACGTTACTCCCTGGAAAAGCGCTGCAATGATACTCTGCACTGCAACTCCTCAGGCAGGCAGGCAGGCAGGCAGGCAGGCAGAGCGGTGGACTGAATTTCCCTCGCTTTCCCTCCTAGGAACGTACATTATAAAGTTTGGCTCAGGACCTTGCTTCTCCTCTAAGGGACCACATTTTCTGTGGGTAAAAAATGTTTTATTAAATGTCTGGACACCCTGAACAAAACTATTTTAGATAGTTTTCTACTCTGCTAAACTTGGAGAACCTACCTCATTCCCAAGCTGTCGCCAAAGTAACTGAATTTTCTAACTTTGGAAGATAAAGATCAGGTATGTTAGGCCCCAGAAAAATGTTTTCATGGTAGGGGAAGATGAATTTCTCTAGTCTCAGTATTCCTGAGGGACTGAGTAGGGAGGGTTGGGGAGAGGTGAGCAAACAAACAAAAAGCATCCATATCTCACAGGTGCCAAAAATAGAAACTGAGATAAACTAAAGTGAAACTGATGAACGAGTCTGAAAGAAGGTAAGTGCAAAGAATTGAACAGAGTGAATTAATGGTACTCACTGGTTTCCTATAGCTATCATTCAGTTTTGATAACAAAAAATCATCCTACTTATATACATCATGTTTTGCTGTGGCTTTTGCAAGTATTAATAGACAAATAAACGTAGGCTAATATATACCACATATTTAAGAAAGATTTAGCAGATAATGGCCTACAGGTATTTGCATAAAGAGAGTCAGAAGTTGTTTTCATGCTAACAAAACTACAGGTGGTTACTAAACTATGGATACAGAACTTTGAGATGCACACTCTCAAATACTGGTCCTAATCAATGTATACTGTAACGATGAGACTTTTAAAGCACAATCATATAATGTAGGCAACAGTATTTGGTAAAATAATTAAGTATAAGTTAGGATGAGACTTTTCCATGAATGCCAAAACACCTGAAGTAAATAGTTGCTAGACTAAAATATAACTTTATTTCTATCCCTGATGAAAATGAAGTCTGCAGCTAAGTGTTCCAGGGCTAGATATGAGCTCCATGATATCAGGAACTAGGCTCCTTGTTGCTCCACCATTAGCAACACACTCCAAGATAGTATCTCAAGCTTTAGCCACTAAATTGGTATTCAAACTTCAGGAGCTGAGAAGAATGAGGACAATATGTTCCCTATTTAAGGACATACCTTGGAAGTTGAACATGACATGTTTTTGACTAGAAATTAACCATATGGCCAGAGCTTACTGCAAATGAGACTGGAAGACTGGAAAATAGAGTGTCTATGTGAAATGGCCATGTATATGGCTAAAAACCTGAAGAGCCTTTTACTTAAAAAGAAGAAAACAAGGGAATATGGGGGAAATAATAGTGTCTGCCATAGTAAGATTGATGGATATCGTAAGTGATATCACAGCATCCGTTTCACCTTTATTCCATTGCGAAGTACCGTGTAATTTAGGGAAATGATTTCATGTTGGGCAGCAGACCCTGTTGAGTCTAAGCCTATCATGGTAACAGCATCATACTTGGAAGTAATTGGTTAATAAACCCAGACCTGAACCAATTCGGGCATGATGTTCACTTGCTGATAGTCACTGGCTCAAGAACAGCATAGTTTCTTACACTGGCCCAGTGAAACGGAATGGAGGAAAAATTGTTCAGTGATGAATCAATGAGTTAGGGTCCAGTTTTAAGATGAATATGACAAATTGGAGACAAAGAAAGAAACTAGATATTTGAAGAAATCAATGTAGGTTTGGATTAAACAACTTTAGAGCCAACAGGAACTCAACTTCTAGTTATGCGCACCAATGTGTTACATCACTTTTTAAGTCACTTTGATATGCTTTTCTGTTAGTAACCAAAACATTCTTAATGTACATTAAAAAACACTGTTCTTTAGCATTTAGTATATAATTCCTTGTCCACAGTCCTAATATCACGTGTGAAACTCCACGGTTTGGCGATACGTATTTTTCTAAATTAAGAATAGGAAATATTAAGGGCATATTAAATTTCTACATATTCCAGATTTTCAAACTTTCAATTTATTTATTTAAAATGGTTCTAACAATTTAATTTTCATTGACATTCCATTGGGATTATTAGAAAGCCAATTTGTTGTTGAGCCAGGGACATATCACAAGCTCAACAGATTTAAATAGCTTCTTGTTTTTGTTACACTTATTACCTCTCAGGATCTAACTAGAATAATAAGCTATGCTGTATAGCTTTCTCTCACTTCAGTCTGTGATAATAAGTGTTGTATTTTAATAGCTAACATTTGCCCATGGGTGTGTTTACCCTATGCCCTATCCTCCTTTAAGTTTTTATAATGTATGAACTCATGTGATCTTCACAACAGCTTTATGAGGAGTATATTATTATTATAACCTCAATTCACTTATGAATTGAGAAATGGATTCACACATTGTCTTCGTCTATTTTGTCTTGCTATAAAAGAACATCTGAGACTGGGTAATTTATAAAGAAAGAGGTTTATTTAACTCAAGGTTCTGAAGGCTGAGAAGTTCAAGGGCATGACCCTGGCTTCCAGTGAGGGTTTTTGCACTGCCTCGCAATATGGTGAAGAAGGTCAAAGGGGACATAGACACATGCCAATGGAGGCAAACCTGAGGGACGTCCTGGCTTTCTAAAAACCCAGTCTCTCAGGAACTACTCTATTCCTATGAGAACGAATCCAGCCTCATGAGAGCAAGACTCATTCACTACAGAGAGAACATCACCAAGTCACTGATAAAAGATCCAATCCCAGAACCCACACCTCTCCCCTTAGGCCTCACCTTTCAACATCACCCCACTGGGGATCAAATTTCAACATGAGTTTGGTGGAGATAAACCATAACACACAGATAAAACTGGTACAAGAAGAAATGAAAATAGTCAAATGTCTATTAGGGATATTGACATCACAATAAAAAACCTGCCCACAAAGAAAACAAAACACTCTAGGTCCAGAGAACTATACCTGTCAATTCAATATTTAAGGATAAAATGTACCAATTGACACCAAAATATCACAAGTCCTTTTAGCAAATAGAGTGAGAAGAAACACTGCTCGGCTAATTTTATGAAGCCAGAATTACCTTGACACCAAAATAAGGGAAAGATATCACAAAAAAGTAAAGGACGAACAAACATCTTTCATTAACTAAAACACAAAAGTCTTTAACAGAACATTGCAAAAAAAAAAAAAATCTAGCAATATATAAAAAGAATAACATATTGTGACCAACAGGGCTTTAACCCAGGAATTTAAGTTTGAGTAAACATGAACAAAGGCAAACAATATAATTTACCATATTAACAAATCAAAAACAAAAGTTACATTATCATCTTAACTGTAGAAAACATATACGAAAAATTCAACACCTTTTCATAATAATAAACGTGGTCTATTCTTACCTGTTTCATTCAACCTTGTATTGGAACTGCAGCAACTACAATATGATAAGAAAAATTGGTCATGTATATAGAACATACTAAGGGATATTAAAAATAAAAATGTATCAAAATTAACAAGTAAATTTAGCAATATCAAAAAATACAAGTAAATCTACCAAAGAAGTCAATTGTGCCACGCATGGTGGCTCACACCTGTAATCCCAGCACTTTGGGAGGCTGAGGTGGGTGGATCATGAGGTCAGGAGATTGAGACCAGCCTGGAAAACACAGTGAAATCCCTTCTCTACTAAAAATACAGAAATTAGCCAGGTGTGGTGGTGCGTGCCTGTAATCCCAGCTAACTGGGAGGCTGAGGCAGAAGAATTGCTTGAACCCGGGAAGTGGAGGTTGCAGTGAGCTGAGATCACACCATTGCACTCCAGGCTGGGCAACAAAGCAAGACTTTGTCTCAAAAAAAAAAAAAAGTCAATTGTTACCAGTGAACAATTGTAAAACAAAAGCATAGATACATATGTAGACATAATTTATTTTAAAATAGCACCAAAACCTTGAAATACATGAAAATAAATTTAACGAAACACGTGCAATACCTAAGCTCTGAAAACTGACAAACTATTGCTGAGAGAAGTTAAAGTAGACTAAATCCATGTTCATTGCTTGGAAGAATCTATAATATTGTTAAGATGCCAATTCACCCCAAATTGAACTACAGAGTGAACTCAGACCCTATTATAATTGCAGATAGATTTTGGGGAAATAAACCAACTTATTTTAAAATATATATGAAAACAAAAAGGACCTAGAATAACTAAAATAATCTTTCAAAGGAAAAACATAGTTAAAGGATTTGTCTTATTTTGAAGACTTAAAAGCTATACTAATTAAGAAAGTGTGGTATTGATGTAGATATAAAGAATAATGGAACTGAATAGAGACTTGAGAAAGTCCTTGATTGTAGTGGTGATTAAATGGATGTATACACTTCAAACTCATCTAATTATTCACTTCAAATAGGCATATTTTATTTATTTTTATTTTTATTTATTTTTGAGAAAGGGTTTCGTGCTGTGTCACCCAAGCTAAAGTGCAGTGGCATGATCATCGCTCAGTGTAGCCTTGACTTCCCAAGGAGACCTCCAAGGCTCAGGTGTTCCTCCCACCTCAGCCAACCGAGGAGCTGGGACTACATGTGTGTGCCACCACGCCTGGCTAATTTTTGTATTTTTTGTGGAGACTGGGTTTTGCCATGTTTCCCAGGCTGGTCTTGAACTCCTGGGCTCAAGTGATCTGCCTGCCTGGTCTTCCCAAAGTGCCCGAGATTACAGGCGTGAGCTACCATGACCAGCACTGTATTTTATTTTATGTAAATTATAGCTCAATAAATTTGACTTAAGAAGAAATGGGAGAGATACTGAGACACCGATCATTAAGTAACTTGCTTGAGATCACACAGTTAGTAAATAACAGAACTGCACTTTAAACTCTTTTTTTCTCTTAACCATTTTTTTATGCTGACTCTTGTTAAGTTCAGAACTGTTTTTGAGTATTAAGAATGAGAAATTTAAGTTAAATGATAGGACAAGGAGAAAGGAGAAAATGGTGGACATTTGCTTGAACTGGAACTAGAATGTCTTTAGAATTTCAGACAATTCCAAGGATGAACTTCCCAATCTATCTTTCTCCGTGGTATCTTTCTGGCTTTTTTGACTCTCACCATAGATGATTCTTACTGTCTTATCTGTAAATTTATTTCACTTCATGTTTTCTGAATTTCCGCTGATTTGCCTTATCCTTCCTACCTTATAACTTCAATTTGCTGCAATCTCTCATGAAGCCCACATTAGAATATTTTTCAAGTTAAGGTTTTCTACTCTTCTCCAGTTCAAATTTCCAGAAGAGGAAATTTGATGGATCCAATAAATGTGGGCTAATGCAAAAAAGCCTCATCATAGGTCAAAAGCAAGGTATAGATTTGCTTTTCTTGGGTGTGGGGTTTAACCTTAGATTTATTAAAGGTGTGGCATGTGAAACTAGATTTATATGGTAAACACACAGCTGCTTGGATGGGATTATGAGTTTGGCAAATGCCATTACTGGCATATCTACTATGATATATCAATTTCAGTTTCCTCTGAAATCATTGCCAATACTTGTGAAAGAAATATGCATATTAATATATTATGTATATAAACATATACCTGTAAAAGATATATTCCTCCTGGATAGCACAGATCCTGGTGACCTTCTAGTTCTAGTCCAGGTAAAGTCTTAATGTTCTTTCCTTCCTTTATTTCTGCATCCTATTTTTATTAAAGTACTCCCTTCTTTTAGCTTTCAAAAAATATGTGTATGTATCTGTGTGTTTGTGTATTGTCAACATAAAAAGAAATAATTTATTTTCTTAGCTGTCACAGAAAAATACTATGGATTTCTGAGATTTTTTTTTCTGTTAGAGTAGGATTCTTGGCACACAGATAAACAAGATTGCTTTTAATTTTTAAGACTCTTAAAGAACACCGAGTTTGTATTTGCAGACCTATCCCTGGCCTCCTACACTCAGAACTCCTCCGCAAGTCAAATTAGTGAATAACGACCCATAAAGAGATAATTAGAACAACAGAAGAGGCTAATAAGTGAACATTAGTCATGCCTACTGAATAGGGTGAACATAGTTCATCCCACTTACAATTCTGCTTAGCAAATTAATTTCTAATACCACTAGAAAAACTTTCATTATTTAATATGCCTTCTGGAATTTTTGTTTATTTTCTAAGTGAGGAAAAAGTATAACTATAAAATTATAAAGTGAAGAAAATGTGACCTCAGAACAGCTAAGTTGAATTTTCAATATTGTTTGTTATAGGGCAGAAAATATTAAAAGCTAGAGCAATGCACATAATTTTAGTGCAAAAATAACATCTGCAAGAAAATATATACTCCTGTATTTGAATGTAGTATTATTACTATTCATAAATGTAGCTAAGACAGGCAAAGTTGGACAGGGAGGATGGTCCAATTCTTTTTCATACGCTACCATTTTGAATAATAAATGAGAGTTTATCATTACTACAATCTTGGCCTTATACTTCTTGGACTAAATACATGAAGTATTATATTGAGTACTACTAATGACAGAAGATATATAGCCTGTGAGACCATAAATCTTTTTTTCAATTGGTTGACATTGCCACACATTATTATAAAATCAATTAATATAGAAATCAATTTTGATGCAAATTCCAACCCCTACTCTAAGTTTTGCTTTCTATAGACAAATAAGAACAATCAATCTCTACTTTGTGTCCTGGTTCATATAACGCATAAAATTAACCCTCATTTACTGCCTTAGCCCTTGTCTCATTCTTTTCTTGTTCAAGCAAAACATGACTAATTTTCCCTAATTTTTTATATGACATGGTTTACAAATCTTTTCTAATTCCATCTATCCATAGTTCACTGAATTCAGTATATCTTGTCAACATTCTTTAAAAAATTGTGTTCTTATGTAGTAGATAACTGAATTTCTGCCTGCCTAACATTCTTTCCTGGTAACAAAATCTGGAATTCCTTTTGTTTGCTGCTCCTTTAAGTCAACCTTGAGTTCAGATGACTCAGATGAAGTTGAACCCCACCACTGGCCACAGCCGTTGGCTGAGAGACAAGCACATGCTCTCTAATTGGACTTTTCTGAGCCCACCTGAGACTGAAATGGAGACTAATGGGGAAAGAAATCTTGCTTTCTATCCATATTGCTAAACCACAGATATAAAGTTAAAGTTATTGGCGACTATTTTGCCTTTCTATTGATTTTATCTAAGAAATGATATACTACAAAGGAAAGAAGAGCTGACCCATAGACAAGGGCACATCTCTAACAGCTTCTAGATCCAGTCGAGAACGGAGCAGGTCCTTGGACTTTTCTGTTATTACAGACATAAATTCCCTTTCTTTTGTATGCCACTTGAGTAATATTTATTTCAATGGAAACGTGAAGAGTCTAACACCAGACATTATCCTACAGTAATCTGTCAAATGTAGACCCTATGCTTTGATAGAGATGCTGGAGATTCATCTTGACTCACTGCCACCAGACATATCTCCTCTTCTATTATCCCTGTGAATGTGTTTTACTGTACCTAAATGTATGACTATACACGTTTTTATTAAATTTTATCTCATTAGTTTTAGAAATTAGCTATGTAACTTTGTTTAATATCTCAACTTTTGATAAATAAGCATTTACAATCTTCATCCCTATTATCTGTTTAGAATGTTGAAAGGATAGTTATCCATGGCATGCCGTCAGAGACTACTTCCAGATAGAACTGGGTCTGTTGATGAGGGCTCTGCCTGTGGTAGTAGAGCTGACTACATACTGTATCAGGATGTTAAATTGGGGACTTCAACTGAGGCACAAAGACAGAGAAGAGATAAAATTAGAATCTGGCATTTTAAAAATATTTAACTTTTAAAAATCTTTCAATTCATAAAAAGCGGTCAAAAGAAGATAGAGATAATTTCTATGAAAAATTTGCCAACTTAATCATTGATTTTTATCTTAAATAATCTTTGAGAAAGCCATTGAAAAGCCTTTACATCCTGATAATACCACTTAAGAAAAACATTCAAGTTACCTTAACATTGAAAGTAAGGCCGAGAGCAGTGGCTTATGCCTGTAATCCCAGCACTTTGGGAGGCCGAGGCAGGCAGATCACGAGGTCAGGAGATTGAGACCACCCTGGCCAACATGGTGAAACCCTGTCTCTACTAAAAAATAAAAAAAATGAGCTGGGTGTGGTGGTGCATGCCTGTAGCCCCAGCTACTCGTGAGGCGGAGGCGGGAGAATCGCTTGAACCCGGGAGGCGGAACTTGCAGTCAGCCGAGATCGCAACACTGCACTCCAGCCTGGGGACAGAGCAAGACAGACAGACAAGACAAGACAAGAAATAAGGTGGGTCACAGAAAGTAAGGCTGAAGATTTCATCTTCTATGAAGATTTCTTTGAGAAAATGATGCTGTCTATTCCACTCCTCACAGGAATAGGGGGCCATGTCATATGAAACAAATCAAAAGAGAAAAGGTTTAACGGGACTAAGCATGTTAGAAGTCACTGCAGTTAGGAAGTCTGCTGCCTGAGAAATATAGAAGACTGGAAATGTGCTGCTTACCTGGTGGCAAAACAAAGGAGGGGATACCATTGGTCTAGAATTTGCCAATTTTCCTGTATAGTTTGTCAGAGCAAACAATGTGTACCTATAGCCAGATGTGTACCTGGAGAGACAGATTGGGGGCTGGGGAATGGGCAGAGATAGATATAAGGCATGGAGCCATTTAAAGCATTCACAATAAGAATGCCTGAAGGTACAATGATTTCTCAATTTTCCAATAATGAGACCCTGGGTGAACTGCAGTACTTAAAACAAACAAGAAAATCAAAGACTGAGGGGGGATTGGCCCAACTGAGGTAATTAATATACATTGCCTAAAAAATGCACATGTTTGTTTACATTGCAGGCCTACAGACAATCCACACAAGCTTTGATAAAAAGACTCAGCTTTCAACACCTGCCAGACTGTGAAGCCATCTTAGGACATAGTAGGCAAGTAAGAATTTTCTTGCCCTTTGATGTATCATTCCTCTTTCTTCTATGACCTTAAGGATGTCCCAAACTGCAAAATGAGGTAGAAGAGAGAAGGACCATGTTCTTTCCTCAGTTTTCCACCTAAAGTACTCTGGTGAGGTGAAGGAAGATTAATTTAACTAATCTGAAACATATATAGAAGTTGTATTATTATGTGAACATATATTTAATTTTTAATGAATATATTTGTAGCTTAAAGAGGCAGTAAAATATTTAGCTGTCTAAAATGGTTCAGAAAAGCCAGGGAGCTGCCCAGGTTTTCATCTAGGACTGTGAAAATACTGCTCTCTTGGATCAAGTCTAAAAAGGCCAGTGAGAGACAAAAAGAGAGATGCTTTCTGATTTCATCTCATAGGTCCTGTTTGTTCTGTGTACTATGGCCTTACTTCACTAAAACCTCATTCCTTCATCTTATAAACATGAATGGGGTTTGAGACATTTACAAAAACCTTGCTAAAATCTAGACATTCTCTATGTTTTATTAATCACCCTCAACTAGACAATTTAGGGAAGGAAACAAAATTAGTCTGTATTGCTTGGTTTTAGTGGCACCACACTGCTGCCTCCAAATAACCATCACTTTGTTTTCCGAATATTTACAAATGTTCTGATTAATAATTCATTCTAAAGTTATTACAGTGACTGATGTCACATTCGTTAGCTTTCGTTGCTGTGAGACACCTGACTTTCAATATTAAGATAACCTGAACGTGTTTCTTGAGTGATATTATCTAGATGTAAAGGCTTTTGAATGGTTTTCTCCAGGACTCATGAAGGTGAAGATCCATGATTAGGCTGATACAATTTCCTAGAAACACAGAGAACAAGTTAGACAGCTTCCTGTTGCTGTTGTTGTTGTTGCTATTGTTATATAAGTTCATTGGAGAGGGTGATTAGGTTGGGCAGTAAGTTTTCAAATGTAATGTCCTCTTCTGATAATACTTTAAATATTAGTGATGTACTTAAAGACTCTAATGTTTAAGTCAATTAACACTAAATGCTTTTATTAAGCCCGAGGACAAAATGCTTTGGTCTGATTCCTTTCTCTTGACTTGCACATACAGTTTCACAAATATTGTCTTAGGTGGCTTAACTGTCATAGAACCACACCTTTTCAAAATTGTATTCTAGCTTGTCAAGGAGTGTCACACAGAATATACTGAGAGAATAAAAGAATAAACTGATCATTATAAAGGCCACTATTTAAATCTTTCTACTTATTCTAATTTTTTTACTATTTTACAATTAACTGAAATGCTAAATTAATAATAGTGACAGAACCTATCAAAACCTCTGGGATAGAACAAAAGCAGTGCTAAGAGGCAAGTTCATAGCATTAAATGCCTACATCAAAAAGTATGAAAGAGCACAAATAGACAATCTAAGGTCACACCTCATGGAACTAGAGAAACAAGAACAATCCAAACCTAAACCTAGCAGAAGAAGAGAAATAATGAAGATCAGAGCAGAACTAAATGAAACTGAAACAAAAAAATACAAAAGATAAAACATAAAGCTGGTTCTTTGAAAAGATAAATAAAATTGATACATGATTAGTGAGATTAACAAAAAGAGAGAAGATCCAGATAAGCTCAATGAGAAATGAAACGAGAGATATTACAACTGATACCACAGAAATACAAAAGATCATTCAAGGCTACCATGAACACCTTTACACGCATAAACTAGAAAACCTAGAGAAGATGGATAAATTCCTGGAAATAGACAACCCTCCTAGATTAAACCAGGAAGATATAGAATCTCTGAACAGACCAATAACAAGCAGCGAGATTGAAATGGTAATAAAAAAAAATTGCCAACCAAAAAAAAAAAAAAAAACAAAAAAAACAAAGTCAAGGACAAGATGGATTCACAGCTGAATTCTACCAGACATTCAAAGAAGAATTACTACCAATCTTATTGACACTATTCCAAAGACAGAGAAAGAGGAAATCCTCCCTAAATCATTCCATGAAGTATCACCCTAATACCAATACCAGGGAAGGACATAACAAAAAAGAAAACTACAGACCAATATCCCTGATGCAAAAATCCTCAACAAAATACTAGTGAACCAAATCCAGAAGCATTTCAAAAATATAATCCACCATGACCAAGTGGGTTTCATATCAGAGATTCAGGGATGGTTACATACATAAGTCAATAAATGTAATACACCACATAAACAATTAAAAACAAAAATAACATGATCATCCCAATAGATGCAGAAAAAGCATTTGACAAAATCCAGCATCGCTTTATGATTAAAACTCGCAGCAAAATTAGCATAGAAGGGATATACCTTAAGGTAATAAAAGCCATCTATGAAGTACCCACAGCCAACATTATACTGAATGGGGAAAAGTTGAAAGCATTCGCCCTGAGAACTGGAACAAGACAAGGATGCCCACTTCCACTACTTCTATTCAACATAGTACTGGAAGTCCTAGCCATAGCAATCAGACAAGAGAAATAACTAAAGGTAATTCAAATCAGTAAAGAGGAAGTCAAACTGTTACCGTTGCTGATGATATGATTGTATACCTAGAACACCCCAAAGACTCATCCAAAAAGCTCTGAGAATTAGTAAATGAATTCAACAAAGTTTTAGGATACAAAATTAATGTACACAAATCAGTAGTTCTGCTATACACTGACAGTGACCAAGTTGAGAATCAAATCAGGAACTCAACACCTTTTACAATAGCTGCAAAAATGAAAAATAAAATACTTAGAAATATGCCTAACCAAGGATGGGAAAGATCTCTGCAAGGAGAACTACAAAACACTGCTGAAAGAATCATAGGTGACACAAACAAATTAAAACACATCCATGCTCACGGATAAGTAGAATATTGTGAAAATGACAATACTGCCAAAAGCAATCTACAAATTCAATGCAGTTCCCATTAAAATACCACCATCATTCCTCACAGAACTAGAAAAAAGAGTCCTAAAATTCCTATGGAATCAAAAAAGAGCCTGCACAGCCAAAGCAAGACTAAGCAAAAAGAACAAATCTAGAGGCACCGCATTACCTGACTTCAAACTATACTATAAGGCCATAGACACCAAAACAGCATGGTACTTGTATAAAAATAGTTACATAGACCAATTGAACAGAATAGTAAACCCAGAAATAAAGGCAAATACTTACAGCCAACTGATCTTCAACAAAGCAAACAGAAACATGAAGTGGGGAAAGGACAACTTATTCAGCAAATGGTGCTGGGATAATTGGCAAGCCACATGTAGAAGAATGAAACTGGATCCTCACCTCTCACCTTATACAAAAATCAACTCAAGATGGATCAAAGGCCTAAATCTAAGGCCTGAAACCATAAAGATACTAGTAGATAATGTTGGAAAAAAACCCTTCTAGACATTCACTTAGGCAAAGACTTCATGACCCAAAACCCAAAAGCAAATGGAACAAAAACAAAGATAAATAGATGGGACTTAATTAAACTAAAAAGATTCTGCACAGCAAAGGAAATAATCAGCAGACTCGATAGACAACCCACAGAGTTGGAGAAAATCTTCACAATCTATACAGCTAACAAAGGACTAATATTCAGAATCTACAAAGAACTCAAACAAATCAGCCAGAAAAAAACAATCCCATCAAAAAGTGGGCTGAGGACATGAATAGACAGATCTCAAAAGAAGATATACAAATGGACAGCAAGCATATGGAAAAATGCTGAACATTACTAATTATCAGGGAAATGGAAATCAAAACCACAATGTAATACCACCTCACTCCTGCAAGAATGGCCATAATCAAAAAATCAAAAAAATAACAGATGTTGTCCTGGACATGGTGAAGGGGAATACTTTTACAGTCTTGGTGGGATATGAACTAGTACAACGACAATGGAAAACAGTTTGGAGACTCCTTAAAGTACTAAAAGTAGATCTACCCCATTCGATCCTGCAATCTCACTACTAGGTATCTACACAGAGGAAAAGAAGTCATTATACGAAAAAGCTACTTGCATATGCATGTTTATAGCAGCACAATTTGCAATTGCAAAAATATGGAACCAGCCTAAATATCCATCCATCAACGAGCAGACAAAGAAAATGATATATACAGACACCATGGACAACTACTCAGCCATAAAAAGGAATGAGATGATGGCTTTCGAAGCAACCTGCATGGAATTGGAGACTATTAGTCTAAGTGAAGTAACTCAGGAATGAAAAACCAACCATTGTATGATCTCATTCATATGTGGGAGCTAAGCTATGAAGACGCAAAGGTGTAAGAATGATACATTGGACTTTAGGGACTTGGGGGAAAAGGTGGAGGGTGGCAAGGGATAAAAGACTACACATTGGGTACAGTGTACACTGCTTGGGTGATGGGTGCACCATAATCTCAGAAATCACCACGAAAGAACCTATTCGTGTAACCAAGCACCAATTGTTCCCCAAAAACCTATTGAAATAAAAAAGTTAAATTTTTTAAAAACTCGAAAAAATAAACAAATATTTTTTGACTGGCTACTTTACAGTTAACTGAAATGCTAAATTAAGTAAAACTTTTTTGCATACTAAGTTTCTTGTTTTAAATTTTAGATCCAGAGGGTACATGTGCTTGTTTGTCAAATGGGTATTACATGCATAATAGTGGCAGTTGGGCTTCTAGTGGCATACTAAGCTTTTAAAAAATAGACTTACATTAAGGAAAAAATAATAATAAACAATGCAAAAAAGCTTTCACAGTGGAATTCCTGACACATGGTAGACACTCAGTAACATATGTGGAACAACTGAATGAATTAATACAAGTTTAACAAAGTAATTTAAAAGCAATATCCTAAATACACATCCTGCCCTATATCTTCAAGATATTTCTGTGAATATATTGAATGAAATGTTTGTACAGATTTAACACATGAAATTGCCAATGTTCTATTTTGCCAGATTTATCGAGGTATAATTGGCATACAACAAACCACACCTATTTGAAGTGCACAATTTGATAAGCTTTTACCATGAACGCAATGTAGTCTAACCTCCTTGCATCCCCAGGCAACTGGTCTGCTTTTTATCACTATAGATGCGTTTGCCTTCTTTTAGAGTTTTATAGAAATGAGAATCACACAGTATGTAGCCTTTTTTTTTTTTTTTTTTTTTTTTGCGGGGGTAGGTTGGCTTCTTTCACTCAGCATAATTATTTTGATATTCAGACATGTTGTTGAATGAATCAGTAGTTTGTTCCTATGTGTTCTTGAGTAGTATTCCACTGCATAGATCCATCACAATTTGTTTATTCATTTATTTAGTCATAGACAATAGTGTTTTTTTCAAATTTTTGGTTATTATGATTAAGACAAATAAACATCTCTATCCAAATCTTTATCTGGACTATGCTTTATTTTCTTGCAATAGATTCCTAGGAATGGAATCTTGGATCACAGAGTAGGCATATGTTTAACATTTTAAGAAACTGCCATTTTTTCCAAAGTATTTATACCATTTTAGGTTCACACAGAAGTGTATAAAAGTTTCACCTCTTCTCCATCCTTAACAACAGTTAATAGTTCACTGTTTTTAATTTAGCTATTCTAGTAGTATGTAATAGTTTCTCATTGTAGTTTTAATTTGCATTTGCCTAATGACTGATTATGTTGAGCATCTTTTCATGTGCTTGTCATTCATGTATCATTTAGTTTGCTGTCTGCTCAAATTTTTGTCCATTTTCTGTATTTTTATTGCTCTCTTGAGTTTTGAAAATTTCTAATATGTTATTGATATAAGTCTTTTAACAGATATGTGCTTTGATAAATTTTTCTATCACCCTGTGGTTTGTCTTTTTATTCTCATATGAATGTTTTGAATAACAGGATATCTTAAATTTTAATGAAATCCCATTTATTTATTTTCATGGATATTACTTTTGGTGTTGTATCTAAGAAATCTTAGCCTACATCACAACAATGTTCACCTATGTTTTACTTCAAATGTTTCACAATTTTAGGATTTATGTTTAGGTTTATGCATCATACTGAATTTTTATATATGGTGTGAGCTATGGATCAAAGTCAATTTTGTGTGCATATGTGTATGAATATCCAATTATTCTAGCACCATTTTGGTGAAAATACTGTCTTCCCCCACGGAAGTGCCTTTGCCCTTTATATAAAAAGGGCATATGTTTATATATGTTTGATACTATTTCTGGAATCTATTTTTTCCATTGATTTATGTGCTTTTCTTTATGCTAATGCTAAACTTTCTTAATTATTGTAGCTTTACAGTAAATCTTCAAATCAAGTAGAATTGGCTAAATCAACTAAGTTTTTTCTTTTTTAATGACGTTTTGGCTATTTTAGATACTTTGCATTTCCATGTAAATTTTAAACCAGTTGGTTAATTTTTGCAAAAAAGACTGCTGATATTTTGATTGGGATCTCAAAGAATCTGTGGATTTATCTGAGGAGAAATAGCATTGTAACTATATTGTGTTCCAACTCTTGAGCAAGGTGTATTTAAGCCTTCTTTATCTTCCTAAAATGCTGTAGTTTCATTGAATAAGTTTTTCACATCTTTTGTAATACTTACCCTTAAATATTTCTTAATTTTGATGCTAATTAAAAGGTATTGGTTGGCTGGGTACAGGGGCTCACGCCTGTAATCCCAGCACTTTGGGAGGCCGAGGTGGGTGGATCATGAGGTGAGGAGATCGAGACCATCCTGGCTAACACGGTGAAACCCCATCTCTACTAAAAATACAAAAATTAGCTGGGCATGGTGGCAGGCACCTGTAGTCCCAGCTACTCGGGAGGCTAAGGCAGGAGAATGGCTCGAACCCGGGAGGCGGACCTTGCAGTGAGCCGAGATCTCGCCACTGCACTCCAGCCTTGGTGACAGAGCGAGATTCCGTCTCAAAAAACAAACAAAAAGGTATTGATTTTTAATATTTCAACTTCCAATATTTAGAAATATGTTTGCTTTTTGTTTATCAATTTGTATCACACAACCTTGTAAAATTCACTTATTAGTTGTAATAGCTTTTTTTGTAGATTCCTTGGAATATTGTTCATAGAAGACAATGCTATCTGTAGAGAAAGGCATATTATTCTTTCCTTTCCATGCTGAAGTTTTCTTATTTTTCTTGCTTTATTCCTCTAGTTTAGAGCCTCCAGTAGATTCTGTACATTCTTGTCTTGTTCTCAATATTAGGGAAAGAACATACATTGTTGTATCTAATATTAAATTTAATGATACCTGTAGATTTTGCAGAGATGCAATTTATCAGTTGAAGGAAGTTCCTTCATATTCCTAGTTGACTGTGAATTTTTATGAGAAATGCATAGCGTCTTCTGTAGGTTTTTTGCATGACTTGAGATGATCATAAGGTCTTTTAAAATTTTGTTAGTATTAATAATTGGGTGAATTAAATTGGTTGATTTTTGAATTTTAAACCAATTTTGTATTCCTGTGATAATCCTCACTTGATCATTATATTTTGCATATTCACATGTTTGAATATGATTTGCTAAAAATTATGCTTAAAAATCTTTGTGTCTTTATACAGGAAAGCTGTTGGTCTGTGTGGTTTTGTGTGTGTGTAAAGTTATTCAGAGCTTGGGAAAATACTTAGGAAGTATTTCGTCCTCTTTAATTTTCTGGAAAAGTTTGTATACATGTATATTGCTTCTTTCTTAAATGTGTGGTAGAATACACTAGTGAAACAAATGGGCCTGGAGTCTTGTAGGAAGAACAAATTCAATTCCTTTAATAGACTTAAGTTTATTCTGGTTTCTTCTTTCTGGATTGAGCTTTTATAGTTCGCATCTTTCAAGGAATATGTCAGTTTCAGCTAAGTTTTCCATTTAATAGGCATAAAAGTATTCATAATGTTTGTTTATTATACATCTAGTATTTTTGAATCTGTCATGTCATATCTCTCATTTCTGAAATTGGTCATTCGTATCTTCTCTTTTTTTTCTAATCAGTCTGGCGAGAAGTTTTTCAATTTTGTTGATTTCAAATAAACAGCTTTTGATTTCATTAATTTTAATATTGTTTTTCTGTTTCTATTTATTATTTTCTACACTGATTTTTTCCCCTTTGGGGTTAATTTCTTTTCCTTCTAGATTCTTAATGTTGGTAGTGAGATCATTTATTTAAGACTTGAAAATTTTTTTAATATAGGTGGTTTATCCTATAAATTCCTTTCTGAGAACTATTTAGCAGCATCCTGCAAATGTTAATGTTGTGTTTTTCTTTTTATTCAATTCAAATTATATTCTAATTTCTCATTTCATTTCTTTCTTAATTCATGGATTATATATAAGTATGATATTCAGTTTCCAAATATTTTGAGATTATTCCAAATATCTTTTTAAAAAATTAGCTTGCAGTTTATTCCATCGTGGTCAGAGAACATTCTTTATATGACTTGAATTTTTTTAATTTGATAAGACTTGTTTTATGGCTGATAAGCTTTGATCACACACATACACACACACACACAAATATCACAAGATATTTTGAATTTTGCTTTGTTGGGTGCTATATATTTTTCCATTCCCATATATATTTTTGAGCTTTGTTCTACAATGTAGTTAAATTACCTAAACATTGTTTGATCCATTTTGTTCTTGGTTGTGAGATTTATTAAGCTGTAAGAGAACAACCATAGTTTAATTATTCCCTACTAGTAAGTCTAGATTCTTCTGTGCACTGTGTCCAGTGCCCCCAAATTACATTGTTCTCCAACGTAGCTGATAGGAAAGCCATGGCTCAGAGCCCTATGTAAGCACCAGACGCTGTTCTCATTAATACTTTCTGATGGTTCTTTCTTCCGGCTTGGGTAGCTTTCTCCCATGGTACTCAGCTGAGTACTTGGGGGAAACCCTCTAGAGATCTCCAAAGTTCGGTCTCTCAGCAACTGTCTCCATCTTGGGCTCCTGTTCCATGAACTCCAGCTACCTGAATCTCTCTGGATTCTCATCTCTATCTTCTCAACTTAGGCAGTCCATGAAGCTCTGTTTGAGTTTGCTCTCCCCGTACCATGGACTGAAAACTCTCTCAGAGAAGTAAGCTGGGGTAACTCCAGGGCTCCACTAATTGCTTACCAGCTCCCAAGGATCACAGTTCTTGTTTGCCTGATATCCAGTGTCCTGAAAATTATTATTTTAAATATGTTTCTTTTTAAAAAATTGATGTAGGCAAGAGAGAATATCTGATCCCTGTTGAACTTAATCGGAAGTGGAAGTTTCCTACTCTACCACATTCAACCCTTTAAACTCACAAATTCTATAGTTTATTATTCCTCAACCTAAACATGTTGCATATTTAAAATAAAAATTGCTCAATTAATCTCATGTTACCAATATTATTCTGGAGATACGCTGATAAATCAGAAATTTATATTCTATATTCTAAATATTGATTTATTTTCCCTGTATTCCTTGATATATTATAGACATTTCTGGAAACTGAAAAAATATATTTTACAAATTGAAAAGACTATAACCTAGAAAGAAAACTTTTTGCGTTTACATTAAAAATATTTTAATAGCTACCAAAAGATGCTGCTGACAGCTGTCAAATGACAGACAACTTATATAAAGAAGTTGATGATCCAGATGAAATCTTTTTATTTGAGTTTGACATCCTACTACCTACTTTTTCTAAGATCTATGTACTGATGTGAGATTGTGAATTTCTTCCACCTTATGTCGTTATGTAACACCATGACTCATCTCTTCAGCATACCCGTAAGTGAAACTTGTCAGATTTCAAAAACAGTGCCCTAAAACCACAGATCCTATATCACTTATTCAAATTTTAGAAAAGCTATTTCTATTTCTTTGCCCTAGTCACTAGAACAGCCAAGTAAACTACCCTGTTCCCAATGTTTGCATTTGCTCACTAATACACTTAAAAAATTAAAACCTCAGGTATGAATTACATGTTCTTCAGATTAAGATCCACCTTCATCTGCTTCAGATCCTTACCAGGTTTTATACTTTTAATAACTGAATAATTATTGTGTTCTCATACTTTCTATGATATATTTATCAGTATCCAAATCATCATAAGGGAAAAAAAAAGGACGGAAGGACAGAGGGACGGACAGAGAGACGGATGGACGGTGGGAGGGAGGCAGGGAAAGAGAAAATTGATGGATGCAGGAGCTCTGCAAACTTAGAGAAAACAAGAAAAGAATGGCTAAGTTTTATTATCTTCTGTAAGGTTTGTCAAACTGTTCTTATGTCCTCTGTACTTCTCCCATTTTATCTCTGAGGATAGTTAAGTGACTTTTTTGGGTACAATACCTATTTAGTTAATGATAGCAGAATCTGTATAGCAGAGTTTTGCATCTTCATGATAGATGAAATCTTTTAAAAATTGTATCCGATGACATCTGTCATTACCTCAAAGAGAAGCAATTTTGCTTTCTCACCATTCAGTGTTAATACTGTGAATTTATTCCACTGAAGCTAAGAATTTTCTTGGACTGACATTCTTTAATTCACTTTACAGATTAGCTTTTTAAAAAAGGTCAGTGGCCTGTGAAAAATGAAATTTAATTCACAAAATGTATATTATCCCTACCTTCCCAATTCTTAGCTCTCTGGATTTCCTGCTGCAGATTTTCTCTCACTTACACACACAGAATATATAGCATTGTTGCTTTTCTGAGAGTCTCTTTAGTTTGACTCAAATCTCTTTGTTTTTTGTGTTTTTCTTTCTATAAAATGGTGATGATAGTATTTAAACCATTATGTTACTAAGACAATATGTAAAATGTCTGATATATAGTAATACTCAATAAATGATAAGTATTTCTGTTTTGTCTTATTTCTGAAACTCCCAAACATGCCTCATTCTTTAATATTAGCCAAAAGTATATTGTGCCCTGGATACTCTTACTGCCTTAATACCATGGCTTTGCTGGACTTGCCACTTAGAAAGACATGCACTAATCATATGCCTACTTCTGAACCACATTTTACAAAATCTTGTTCTAATTCTATTGTCTTCTCTTATCTACATGTGTAACTCCTCTCACTCACCTCCTTTACTGTTCACTTTCTAATATTTGTTTTGGCACCTAACCATCTACTATCTTCCACATAGTTTCAATGCATACTGAGTTATGTGTGTTTAACGTCTTGTCTTTCCAACAAGACTGTCTACTGCATAAAAGTAACTCTTTTTATTTCCTACACCCACTACTCCCTTGCTTCAGACGTTTTAGATATTTAATAGATATGGAATGAACACTTGAATGGAACTGTATTCAGACTCTATACCTAGTTTTAAGGACTAACCTAATGATAAAGGAGAAACGAGGACTGATTTTACATATGGTTCAATGTCTCCTCACCAGCTCATTTTGATTTGTCTCAGGTGTTATGGTCTTTCTCTTGCATTTATTTTCAAGTTTGCTTTCTAATGGCAGAGCCTTCTAATCTGATGCCTCTGCCCTAGTTAAGACTCTTTGTGTTATACTAAATTCTCACTTTAAAATACTATTGTTGTTGTTCTTCTTATATCCTACCCTGCCCCCAGTGAAATCTATAATCAGAGTGGTCTAAAAAGGGGTGATAGATGCAGCTAATGTTAAAAAAATTCTGCTGAAAAGGACAATGACCAAAAAATAGATTCCAAAATACAAACGAGTAGGACATATTATCCCCAAAGTGCTACGTGTGTGTGTGTTTGTGTGTGTATGTGAATGTGTGTAAGATGTTCATCCAGCAGGTCACAGAATTTCTATATGATATCAATAATATAGCATATATGCTTGTTTTGCTTTTTGGGGATTCTTCCATTGTGAAGATAGTCAAGGATATTTATAAAACCAAAGTTTTGTCTCTTGCCCATCACCAAGTTTTACCAAAGGAAAGACACAGATGTTCAATTGAGCTTTGAAGTTCTATTGCTTGTAATTTGAGTATTTGCATTTCCATATGCATTGAACCCATAAAGCTAAGGATAATACAGAGATTTCAGGATTTTTATTGCATGGTAACATTTATCACAAGCCAGGCAATACTAAACTACTCCTCTAGTATAATGATTTTTAAGTCATCCCAAGCATAAAAATCACCTCAATTTCACTGTTTGCCAATCTCTATTATGCTTTTAAGTTGGATGAAAAGTAGCATTAGCCAATTTTTAAAAATGGCTTACTAAAGAGGAAAAAGAGACAGCAAACATAAATACCTCTGAGTATCTTTATAAAACAGATGAAATACTTAAGTGAATATGGACATCTTATTTTCCCCCACTTACTGGTATGTTTGCTTTCCAGTCCAAACAACTGTATATATACTAGGTTTGGATTCATAGCGCTGAAGGCATATTTTTTATGTGAAATTAATTGATAATCCAGGACACTTTGGATCTTTGGATATAGCCCTATCTCCTCAACTTATTCAGGATTGTCTGTAATATGCAACACCAACCAACTTCCAAAAATAAACTCAGTAATTGAATGTCAAAATGCCCACATTTGGTTTTCAGTACTAATGAAATATAATATTTCTGTGCTTTTTTCTTTTCACTCAATCAACATTTTACTTTTTTATTCTTTTGACTGAGTCTCACTCTGTTGCCAGGCTGGAGTGCAGTGGCATGATCTTGGCTCACTGCAACCTCCACCTCCTGGATTTAAGCGACTCTCCTGCCTCAGCCTCCTGAGTACCCAGGACGACAGGCACATGCCACCACACCCAGCTAATTTTTGTACTTTTAGTAGAGACAGGGTTTCACCATGTTGGCCAGGATGGTCTCGATCTCTTGACATTGTGATCTGCCAACCTCGATCTCCCAAAGTACTGGGATTACAGGTGTGAGCCACTGCGCCCGGCCTACTTTTTTATTTTTTAAACTTTTATTATGAAAAAATAAAATAATAAAATTTTTAAATTATGCTTTTTAAAGTTTTATTTTATTTTTTATTGACAAATAATTGTATATATTGATGTGCTGTGTGCATACATGTATACATTTTGGGATGACCAAATACGGCTACTTAGCATATCCATCATCCCAAATATTTATAACTTATTTGTGGTGAGAACATTTAAAATCTTTTCTTTTAGTTATCTTGGAGTATACATTATTATTAAGTATAGAGTTAAATTTTTTAATTAAAAATTTTTAGTGATTATACTTTCAAAACCTGTGAAAAGTTAACAGTGCAGCCCACTTAACTTTGTAAGTGCAGAAAAATAGGCCCTTATTTGCCGCAGTGGATTAAAAAATAGTGTCTCATATCCTTAGTATACAGAGCTTGTTTCCTAAGAAGAGATAGTATATATATGTGTATACACACACACACACACACACACACACACACACACACACACACACATACATACATACGAGAATATCCAAAATAAGACTTTTTAGGAAGGTGGGGGAATTTGTGCTGGAAACCTTGACTAAGAAGAGTGTCAGGAATTTTTGATCGAGGTCAGGTCTCATGCACTGGGCACCCAGCAGCCCTGCAAAGTACTAGTGCTTTGAAAGACAATGCCCGAGTTTGCAACTGTGAAGCAAGACACCTATGATCATGCTTCCCAAGGATGCAACACAACTTTGGTACAGGCAAGAAACAACCAGCAAGGACACTGGCACACAGTTGAAAATTGCGACTTAGACCAGGACAGACCAGTCTGCTGAAGTAATAGCATCAGGCATCCCAAAAGTAAGAGGTACTATTCAGCAAATAACCCTGTTTCTCCTTCTCCCTGGTATGCAGAATAAAAATGACAGCTTTTGGAATAAATATAGTCTGAAGTTTTCAGCCAGTTTGGTAATGCAATGCAGGGACAAGGCTCATATAAGTAGGTCAGATAAAATTTTGAATTGTTGTTAAAAATATACTATAGGTGGAACTATATTTGTGCCTTGACAGTACAGAACAGATATTGTAATAAATATCCATATTGGATATCTCTGTGTCTGTGTATGTATGTATGGACAGTCATATAATTGTGATAATCAAATCTCTTCCTAAAACTGTAGGACAGAGTCTAATTTTTATTTCATGCAGATTGTCCCCTCCCTTCAGTGATGACATCCTTACTCCTCTGAAATGAACCATACCACCCATTCAGTCATTATTATGTAATTGTGTGCCATCGTGTATCACTTTGGATATGTGTCCCATTCCCCAGTTAGATTACACATTCAAAGTCAAGGTTGAGATTTATACATACTTTTCAAGTCCACAGCATCAAACCTAGAAACCCGTATAGGAGATAGAGCAACAGCGTGGCAGACTGGTGAGGCAAGATAATATGGTGGCCATGTGGTCAAATGGTGGCTCCCTCTCTGACTTGAACAAATGATTTAATCTTCCATTTCTGGCCAGGTGCTGTGGCTCACGCCTGTAATCCCAGCATTTTGGGAGGCTGAGGTGGGTAGATCCCTTGAGTCCAGGAGTTCAAGACCAGCCTGAGCAACATGGCAAAACCCTGTCTCTACATAAAATACAATATTAGCCAGGCGTGGTGGCATGTGCCTGTGGTCCCAGTGACTCAGGAGGCTGAGGTGGGAGAATCACTTGAGCCTGGGAAGCGAAAACGTTGAAGTGAGCTGAGATGGTGCCACTATACTGCAGCCTGGATGACAGAGCAAGACCCTGTCTCAAAAACAAATTATATCTTAAATAGAAATAATTATATCTACCTCACATGGGTGTTAAAAGGAATAAACATGAAGTCACTTAATACTTGGCAGGTAGGGCTCTATAAAATTAAACATCTAAGGTAGTGATAAAATAGTTATGTGTTAATGATACTTATAGTCGTCATTTATCAAAAAATTCACAATTGCTGTATCATTCTTGTCAACTTAAAGACAATGTAACTAGAAAAGGGAATGGTTTAGAAAGAGATATCTGTTCTGAAAATTCCCATCCACAAATTCTCTGACTTCTCTCCTTTTCCGACCATCTCTCCAGTCTCAACACCATCATTCCTAACTCTGACCACTGCTTTGGACTCCTTTCTCTTTCTGCCTCTCAGCACAGCCTACCCTAGATATTTTCCATTTGCACCTCCAGATCTATCATCTACCCTTGTATCGTGCTTTAGGCTTCTGGAGGCTAACTGCCATAATGGCATTCACAGGCTTGGGCTTTTGCTGGGTTTGGCAAATGTGAATTCACCTGCAGGAGATGGGACCTTAGGGGATTTAGTCCCCTTTTGCTCCCTTAATGGGCAGTGGTTGGACAATGATGACTTCCCTATCTTACAGTCACAGCTTCTATTACCACACCTTTGGCAACTATAGTTTTTTCCTAGGTTCCTGTGAGTTCTTTCCTTGCCCCTTTAAGCTGCTGCTAGGCCTTGGAGCTTTCAACAACCTGTGTTGGCTTTCTTTAACCCTGACCCCACCTTTGAAAAAGTGATTATGAAGTGCCTTTTGTCCCCTTTGACTGTACCATCTATTTCCTGCTAGACCCTGACTGATACACCTGCCACTCCTCCACACCAATTATATCTGTTTATCACAAGACAGTGTGAAAAATTTGAATTCTGTCCTGTAACTCTCTTCTCTGAATATAGTTTACAGGGTCCTATCTCGCTGAACTTTCCTTTCTCATCATGCTGTGTACCACATCTTTCAAATATTCACAAGCTTGAAGATGTCTGCTTTTGGGTGTGTGCAGATACCCTACCCTCTGCCAGAAACATGTGCCTTTACAACTCACACTAGGGACTCAGTATTTGAAAAGTTGCTTAATGAACATTTTATAATTCATATCCTCATAGTTTATTTTTTACTGCTAGATTTTAGGGAATTGTAATGAACTGGTCATTAAAACCTCTTTTCAGCATTTTAATCTATTCTATACTAAGTATTTTTCTGTTAATAATGATACTAGAGCCAAAATCATATTTTCCTTCTTAAAATAGTATCATTTTTAAGCTTTTAACAGTAATACATACCTGAGATGGTACTGATGGCATCTAATCATTATATAATATGAGTTTTGAAGGGACAATTTTGGTAGCTAAATAATCTTGTTCATAATGTTTTTAGCACTAATTTGGAATCATGGAGCTTTTATTATGGAGCTGGCATAAATTTATCTGTAAATCGTGTAAATGTTTAGATGGTCCATACATATATAAAAATAGCTTTGTTATGCTTTAAATATTGCTCCTTCGGCTCATAGAGTATATTCAGAGATATCTACCAGTGGGTTTTTGTGCTGCTGTAGCATCTTCCAAAAAAAAAAAAATTAGCCCAGTAGGGCCTTGGGCTATGAATGTTTTAGTAACCTTCTGTTAATAGAAAATAGTAAGAGGTATTTCTTGGGTCTTATCTCTGACATTTTTTGTCATTCCCTTGTTTCAATATTTATGATATTTTCAAACTTTCTGTCATGGCCAAAACACTAATATTCTTCAGTCGATAATAAAATTTACTTGGCCTTCATCCCCATTATTGTTTGTTTGTTTGGTTGTGATACTTAAAATGAGAAGTCATAAACTTCTTTTGGTTTTCCTAGAATATTTACCTTCAATTTTCTTGAGTAATCTGTAGTTATTTATAAAATATTCCTTTTTAAAAATAAGCTTTCTGTTTTCCATTCAAGTATAAGATATTATTTTCCATTAAAAAATTTAAAACAGAAGGCAGAAGGTAGAAAAAAAACACTTGTCATCTCACAAGCAGGTAATATTTCAGTGCAACATCCTGTCTGTCTTTTTCTCTGTGCATACTTTATATAACATTGAGATAATATGATAGAGCCAAAATCATATTTTCTTCTTAAAATAATATCATTTTTAAGCTTTTAACAGTAATACATGCCTAAGATGGTACTGACGGCATCTAATGATTATATAATATAATTTGAGTTTTGAAGGGACAATTTTGGTAGCTAAATAATCTTATTCATAATGTTTTTATTCACTAATTTGGAATCATGGAGATTTTATTATGGAGCTGGCATTTATTTTTGTACTGCATTTAAATAGTGGATAGTCAAAACAAATTAATAATATGAAGGTGAAGGATCATTACTGACTTAAAACAAAAATATAATCTCTGAGAAGACAAAAAAAATGCTGTAACTTTCCAATAAACTTTATCTTGTATTGCAAAGTATTCTATTATTCAACTTTTACTAAATAAAGTCTGCAAACTTAACAATTTTTGTGTGAAAAGCACATAAAATTTCTGCCCTCAGGAAGCATGCACTAGAGAGGATAAAGAAACATTAAATTGTCACACAAGAATGCACCTTGTATTAGTCCATTCTCACACTGCCATAAAGACATACCAGAGACTGGTTAATTTATAAAGAAAAGAGGTTTAATCAGCTCACAGTTCTGTGGGCTGTACAGGCTTCTGCTTCTGGGGAGGCTTCAGGAAACTTACAATCATGGCGGAAGGTGACGGGAAAGCAAGCACATATTCACATGGCTGGCAGGAGAGAGGGAGGGAGGGAGGGAGCGAACAAGCAAGAGATAGAGTGCGTGCACACATGCGAAGTGGGAGGTGTTACATACTTTCAAACAATAAATCTCCTGAGAACTGTATCAGGAGATAGCACTAGGGGGATGGTGCTAAACCATTAGAAACCACCCCCATGACCGAATCACCTCCCACCAGGCCTCACCTCCAACAATGGGAATCACAATTCGATATGAGATTTGGGTGGGGACACAGAGCCGAACCATATCACACTTCATACAGAATGAGAATGAGAGACAGAATATTTTAAGAGGAGACACTTAAAAATTAAATATATTTGAATTTTACTCACAGTTTTTCCACTTTTAAGCATGATAAGATGGCCTGTAGTCTATCAGTGCTTCCGTTTCCATCTGCGTAATATGGGAAAGAAAATAAAATCTGTATATCAAGGTCATTGTCAGGTCTAAATGACTTAGCATATCTAGCACTATACCCTTTACATTGGAAATTCTTAGTGAATAGTAACTATTATTCATTTCCATTATAGCCCTAATGCCAGGAGAAATATTAGAGAGAATATTTAGGAGACTGTTATTATGGTAATAGTAGACATTAATGAGAGGGTGAATTAGCATAATGGTTAGGCATACAGAAAGGAAAAGTAAATATTGACCAAAATTCCACAGAAGCATATACAGGAATTAATTATATAAGAAATGAAGATGTGAGAGGAATCCAAAATGACCTGAGGTTTTGACCTTTATGAATGGGAGAATACAAAGCTTGTAGCCCATCATAGCAAACTGAGTAAGAATTTGTAGGTATGGAGCCCCAGCATCAGCATTTTTAAAAAGGCCTTCAGATTATTCCAACGCATCACAAGAATTAAGAACTATGTTTAAAATTATTTACGTGCATATGCTAGTGTACCCACAAATGCTTTAAAATTAATTTAAATGCAGTTTTATGTAAAACAGTTCTAACTTTATGGAAATGTAACATATATAACAGGCAAATAAATGCTATAAAATAGGTTGTCAGGCTTCCACTTTCTTAAATTCTAGGTACTACTGGATGTCATGTTTGGGAAAGAGTCCCAATGAGCATTTTTGTTGACAAAGGCAAGGCTCCCTCGACATGGCACTAAAGGAAGCGCTTCAGAAAGGAGACACATTGTTTGCATAAAAATACAATAATTTGAAATCCTTGAGAGACAGGTTTTCTGAATAATAAGGGGAGCCTGAAGACTAGAAAAAGGGATAAGAAAATGCTCTGCGAGGGAACATTTTCAAATACTAAAAGAAAATAACCATCAAGTACAAATTATATATCCTGTGAAAATATCCTTCAAGAAAGAAGGAGAAATAAAGACGTTCTTAGGTGAAGGAAAACGAAGATAATTTGTTGCTATCAAACCTACTCTTAAAATGGATAAAACAAGTTATCTTAACAAGAGGAGATGATAACAGGAAACGTTATGGAACTTGGAACTTTAAAAAGAAAAAAAAAACATGGACATAGGTAAAAACAGGACACATATAAGAAATTAACCCACTTCTCGTAAGTTTTTGACTCATATTTGATGGCTGAAGCAAAAACTATAACATCATGCAATATAGTACTCAATGTATGTAGAGGAAACACTTAAGACAATTATAATTAAAAGGGGGGCCTATAAAATAATCTAAACGAAGTAATGCTTCTACAGTTCACTCAAAGTTGTAAAATGTCAATACTGGTAGCTTTGATAAGTTATGTATGTAGATTGTAATACCTAAGGCATTCTCTAAGAAAAGGATGCAAAATGCTGTACTCTGGAACACCATATATAAATGAAGACGAAATCCTAAATAATGAATAAATAACCTGCAATACAGTAATATGAGAGAAACAGAGGAACAAGAAACAAAACAAGCAGAAAAAATGATAAAATAGAATATTTGAACCATATTAATATATCAATAATTACCTTAAATATAAATGTTCTAAATATGCCAGTTAAAAGACAGAGACTGGCAGAGTGCACAGAAAAACATGATTCAACAATATGCTGTCTACAAGAAATGTATTTTAAATATGACAAAGGTAGGTTGGTAATAAACAAATATGAATGATAGACAATGCAACCATTAACCACAAATGTAGTTACTACATCAAAATAAGATAGTCAACTTTTGAGCCAACAAAATTACTAGAGAAAAAGACAGATGTTACTTCATGATAAAAAGTCAATCTACTAAGAAGTTGTATCAGTCCTAAACATGTATGCATAAAACAACAGAGCTTCAAGGTACATGAAGCAAAAACTGATAGAACTGGAAAGAGAAATAGACAAAACCGTGATTATAATTGGGATGTCAACACACCACTATCAGTAATTGAGGAGAATTACTAGAGAGAATATTAGCAATGATATTGAGGAACTGAACAAAACCAACCAATATAATTGACATCTTTAATACTTTATCCAACAAAGGTGTAACATTATGTATGTTATGAAGAACGTAAGAATCTATTTTTTATTTACTTTTGCATGAATAAGGAAACTCTGAATGAATATGAAAAAAACAATTGTTACCTCCGCTTGGTTAGGGGTGTCCTAAAGTAAACAACAAAAAAGAAGAGAAGGGAGGGTTTTCTGTACATGTTCTTATTGTTTTTTAAGTACATAAATGTATGAACAATTTAAAAATGAAAAAAATAATTTTTGAAAGCTACTGTATAAGCTAATTCATTAGCAAAACTGAGACCAACTCCCTATTTTCAAAATACTTGAGCAAGAAAAGATGGCCTTTGTCATGAAATTGGTGAAGCTTTGATTTTCCATGGTATGCCACATGGAGACCGGAAGCATTGTAATTGGGTTTAAGAAGAAAATATCACAGAACAGTGAAAAACCCTGGGTAATTTGCATTATAAATATATTGTAAACATCTTTGCAAATCAATATATCTACATACACAAACACATATATGTTTCTGTTTGTCTATATTTGTTCACATATTAACAAATATGTATTTCCACAAATAACTTGCATTGATTATGTAGAATTTCTAGTATGCATTAATATGGTAATTTTAATTAGTTCTCACTTGTTGAAAAATTATATTTCCACTTTTTTGTTCTTGTTAAAATTATAATTGTATAGTCTAAGGATATCTTTAGGATAAACTGTAGAAATTGTACTCTAGGTCAGAAATCATGAAGACATTTGTCTGTTGAGACATGTTGCTAAATATTGCTCCAGAAAGATGGTAATATGTATAGCTTTCTTTTGAGGTGTTTGGTTATCTTATAACTTAAATAAAAATAGTATCACAAAAAAGGCCCTATTTTTCAAGAAAGCGTAATATGCTTCCATCTTTGCTATCAATGTCAAATTACCAAAGCAGTTGGTTCTAAAGCCTATATGCTACAGTTTCTGTTCTGTTCTATATTTGAGGCATAAGTATGCCTGTCATTCATGAAATGCTAACTAGCTAATGCACTCTTAATTCTTTTTGCAACCAACGTACTTATATATTTGTTACAGATATTCATGCCCAAGGGAATGATGCAGTTTCTTTAGCAAGCCTTTGATTTTTAAATAGAAGGAGATGTGTCAGACAGCATTTGGTTAAAGAAAAGATAAAATACAGTGTGATATTTGCTTGTTCCTGAAAGATGCATAAATAGACTTTAGAAACAGGTAAATAATTCTCCCGTGGACATTGTGTGTACTGACAGATTGAAAATAATCTATGAAAAGATAAAAGAAAATTATATATATACATATATCACGATCTTAGTGGTCTTTCCTTTAAAATATTTCTTTAAATTTCCAATTACGTTAATTTTCAAAAGACAGAGTGATCCAGAGGGCATAATCTTTGTTTATGGAATATGACAAACATAGTACAAACATTTTAAATTAGTCAATGCCTTTGGAACAGCTAAAATCAAGGGAATGGTACCTTTTAAGGTGGCTTATTACAATCTTTCTTGAGTCATGGGTTTTCTTAATACGTGAACTGACAACTATAAACACACATTCACACACAGTTCCTATGTTGCTTCTTTAAAATATAAATTCCATTCCATTATATTGAGAATCAGGATAAAAAACAGTCAAAATATATTAGCTCTTATTAATATATACATATTAATATATGTCTCATTTAAGGTTCTTTAGGTTGCAAATAACAGAAGCCAATATAAGTTATTCTATGAAGGAAATATAGTTTTAAATGTCCTGTAGAAGACAAGCAACAGGTGTTAAAAAACTTTACATGAATTATATTTCCCAGAATTTAACTGAGCAAAGTCTTGAGAATCTAGTAGCCCCAAGAAACAGAAGAGGTTCATTAGAACTCAGCTTCACAAAGTGGGCAGGTTTTCATTTTACAGACATAAAACAGCTGGTACAGAAACAGCTGGATTGATTACAGCTGGGCATTTGACTTAATTAAACATGGTCTGAATAGTTGGCAGCCTATGATTGACTGAAGCTCAGCTGCTATGACTGGCCAAGACTCAAGTATTTGTTACAAACGTATACTTCTAAATTAAACTTTCAGGGAGTTCCTTTACTAAGTTAGATTGCAATTTTTTATATAGGGATTCAAAGCACAGAAGCAGCCTCAAGCCACATTTAGTTTAACCTAAGGTCACTTGAATTTTAAAGGGCCAGAAATTAGAAAACTGTGGGGAAGACACCATCATTCATTCTTCACTGTTTTTTTTTTTTTTAAAGTAATCTGCTTCACTCATGGTACTGCTAATATTCTTTCTCGTCTCTATTCATATAGAGAGATGCCCTTATAGCATCTGAGTTTTATTCCACCCTCTTACCCTTAAAATTTCTGTGAAACTTCCTTTCAGTATTAAGTTCAAATTACTGAGAGATATGTGATCAAAAGTTCTCTGAAAAGAAATGTGGAGGAAAGTGACTTCATTCTAATGAAGAGTTTACAGATCAGAAAGATGCAGCTTTCAATATAAAATGAAGGTCCTTCCCAGAGAAGAAAGAGAGGGTTCAAGGTTTTTTAGCAAAAGTCTGGACCCAGGTTCTCAATCAGGCCCATTTATGCAAATGAAGAATTGAAACTTGCTTAGTTCTTATTGGTTGATACAGCTGATTTCTGATTAGTCAATTCAGCTGGGCTCTGATTAGTTGGTTCAATTGAGCTCTGAATGTCCCGAAGTTCAACAGGATATGGGAACTTTCAGGAAACTTGAGTACCTGTGTTAGTTCTAGCTAGCAAATGACCACTTGGCTCTGTTTAAAATCTAAACCCAGTTAGCCACCCTGAACCCATCGTGAGGGATTAGCTTTTTCAGGTTCTATTTGTTCACAGATATAACCTGGTCCAGATTATGTCAAATATTTATCTTCCTCTCTGCCCTTCCCCCACCTTTCCCCCCACCTCCCATCACCTCTGTTGCACAGTTGATCTAATCAACCTTAAATTATCATTACAAAAAGGAAAAGAAAAATACCTGTCAGCAGCTCATTCAAAACTTGGAAAGAGGCAATTTGTCAGAGAAAGAAAATTGTGATGTGCTGGGTAGGCAAATATGATGTCGCTATAATACTGCAACAATAACAGTTAATATTTATTGAGTGCTTTTACCTTGCTGTGCAATTTACATGCATTAATTTATTAATCTTCACAAGAACCCAAATTAGTTGATATTATTATTTCCAGTTTGCAAACAAGGAAATTGTTAAAAGGCTTGCTCAAGATCACAGAAACAAGAAGAGATGGAGCTGCAATTTCAACCTTGTCAGTAACTTCATCTCTCAAACTCTTAACTATGGTGCTGCATTTTAAGTCTCAAACTATCATATTTGTAGGTAGAGAAATGCCATTATCTTCTCATTTCTGAACTTGCTTCAGATACATTTCAGGGGTTCACAAAGCCATTCATTACCTACTTTCTGAAGCCTTTGGGTGCCCTTCCTCTACCCTATTTCTTAGGATTATTCTCAAAAGGAATCATATGATATCCATGTATGGGACTCCTTCATGAAGTTACTTTTCTGTTGAATGTTTCTTTCGTTTGAAATATGCCTTACTAAAGGAGCCAGATCGTTTCTCTCATAAAAACAGGACAACTTTGAAATAGGCTGAATGCCCAGCAGAAGGTAGGTTGATGACACAGAATTTCAGTATTTACTTAAGTATCATCATAAATAAATGATTCTGAACTAAAACTCATGAATCCTAATTCTAAATCCATTACAATTTCTGATATCAGAAATATGTATAAAAATATATTCCTTTAATAAATATTTATTGAGCATCAACTCAATACCAAGCTGTGTTGTAAGTATAGGAGGTGCAGAGATGAATAATACTGTGAGAATTTTGCTTTTATATCATATATAACTGTAGTGTCATCACTGATGGAAAAAATACATTATTATTATGAAATATTGAGATTCAAAAGTAGTAATTTTTCTGGTTCATTATCAATTCTATCTACTTAAATACTGAATATGTATTAATGATAAAATAATTTGATATATTTACCTATAAATTATATTGATAATTTAGGAATATAATTATATTGATGAGAAAAAATATGGAAAAATAGATTGCTAGTTCAGTATCAGTTTTGTTATTTAAAAAAATTTCTAAGATTTGCAATTAATGGATAATGTGTGGACAGAATTGAAAGGTATAAACTCTTCAAACTCACGTGTTTTGCCGTCTTTTGATAGTTAATTTTACAGTAG
This sequence comes from Homo sapiens, assembly GCF_000001405.40. NCBI lineage: Eukaryota > Metazoa > Chordata > Mammalia > Primates > Hominidae > Homo > Homo sapiens. The sequence continues at coordinate 164,263,519 of NC_000005.10, read as the reverse complement.
TTAATTTATATTTTTAATTAATAGAATTCATAGATAATTTTTTCATAAATTCTAAGGCTGAGTTTTCTGTCTTATTTTATATGTCTATCAGAAAGTGCCTTTTTTGTTTGACAGATTGTTCTTTTTTTATTACATTTAAAGAACTATGATTCATCCTATGTAATTAGAATGAGCAAGCTGAATATTCTCTGTTCTTTGAAAGGGTAGCAGTACCAGGAGCAAATTGTTGGGATATTCACATATCCATGTTTATCCCTCTCATTAGCCATAAAACAGTCGGTTTCTGATAGATCAATGTTCAACAGAATGTTTTTTCCCCTGGATTTCCAAGTTAAGTCTTTGGGTTGTGTCTTATGTAAAAAATCATGTCAAAGATCTTTTTTCTACTGGTAGAGAAAATCCTACAAAGGATGAAATGGAACAGTGTGTTGTCACTTTATATTCTATTTATTGTCAAACATTGGTAAGTTGGATGTGAGATTATCATAACCCTCCTTTACTAGAGAGAATATAGTGGGGTGACACCATTCTTAGAGCAATATGGTACTGCTTTTGTTAAATTAAGTATTCTTATATATGGCCTCTGACTCATACATTTCACTCCTGAGTATATATCTCAAGTAAGTTCCCTCTTGGGTCTACAAGGGAGCATGAATGAGGTTATTATTCAAAGTAATATTTCTGATTAAAAGGACATGGAGAAAAGCTGGATGTCCATTTCAGAAGAGTGAATAGGTCAAATGCAAAAACCTATAGAGACACTGTACAACACTAGAAAAGAAACGATACACAAAAAGATGTTCACAGCGACATAGACACATCTTAGAAACACCGCGAGGAATGATTTAAAAAAAACAAAAAGCAGATGTAGCAAGCATGTTCCATTTACGCAAAATTAAACAAAAACATCTTACAGGAGAACATACAAATAAAAAGGATTCTTATTCAACACATTATATGAAAAGGTGTATTAGTTCATTCTCACACAGCTATAAAGAAATACCTGAGGCTGCGTAATTTATAAGGAAAAGAGGTTTCATTGGCTCACAGTTCAGCAGGCTATAGAGGGAGCATGGTGGCATCTGCTTGTGGGGAGACCCCAGGGGGCTTTTAGTCATGGTGGAAGACAAAGCGGGAGCAGGCGTCTTACATGGAAGGAGCAGGACTGAGAGAGGCATAAGTTGTGACACACTTTTAAACAACCAGATCTCATGAGAACTCACTCACTGTACACTGCCACGGGGGGATGTTTGTTACTAAACCATTCATGAGAACTCCATCCCCATGATTCAGTCACCTGCCACCAGGCCTCACCTCCAACATGGGGATTACAGTTTGACCTGAGATTTTGGTGGGGACACAGATCCAAACCATATATGGGAAGATAAGCTTGGGTAATGGGGACCAAAGAGGGAGGGAGGGAGGGAGGGAGAGAGGGAGGGAGGAAGGCAGGCCATCTAATGCAAGTGGAAGCAAACTTTGATGCTTAATTTGTAGATTTTGTCTTTTAATTTTTATGCCAATGATGTGAATTTCTTCAGAAATGTCACATAAAAAGCAAGAATTTCTACAAAAATCTTTTGTTTCCCAAAATGATTTAAACGATGCCTACTTATTCGGTCTGTTATGAGACAGTAGGTGATACTATTTCACCTATAGTAAAAAGTACAAAGAAAATAGGAGATGCAGTTGTTTGGGTTTTGTTTTTTTTTCTTGAAACCACAGGTGGGAAAAATGGAGAAAAGTAAAATATACAAACATAGTGATAGAATAGATAAAAATATATACTTAGTATGTTTAAGTTATATTTGTTTTTCCATAAAGCTATGAGATTTCAGAAAAAGGTTAGTTCCAGTAATATCAGAACAGATTAACAGTAAACAAGAAGTTAGAATGGCTACATTTCAATCCTGGCCCTATCACTTACGGGCAATGTGGGTTTGAGCAAACACTTACTGTTTATAAACTTTGTTTTATTGTTGATGTTTTTAAATCTGATATTGTAAATAATATCTACCTTATAGAGGTTGGTCAAAATACAATGAGACAACACAGTAAATGAATGCACATGTCTGAAAAATAATAAATGCAAAATATGTGCTAAGTATTAAGAAAGCAGTAAGAATCAAGATGAACTATGGTATGGATAGAATTATATAGGGCATTCTAAATCAAGGACTTCTTCAGGAAAAAAGTTCTGGTTCGTGTGTATGTGTTTTCATTTGATGTTAGCCAAAAGGCTGAGAAATTATTTTTTTTAAGTTAAAAATATTTTCTAAACTTAATATCTTTTTGGAAATATTTTAAGATGTGTTCCTCATTGCAATTCTCAGGAATTGTGATATTATTAGTGGCATTTGACTAATTTTCCATGTATCTTCTTTAATATCTGCTATATGGAATACTGATCCTTTGCCACTTGTAGAATATTTATAATTATTATACCTTCATCATAGATCGCAAACTTTAGTAATATAAACTATTGTTATTTTTATCGGTCATAGTTTTTGGCCTTAATTACAATTTGTTTGACATTAAGTTCATTACTCCTGTTTCCTTTTTGGTTGTATTTGCCTTGAACACTTTTTCCATCATTTTGTTTTTACCTAATCTGAATTACATTCTTTGGCTGTATTTTGTGTATGGATTTTGCTGTTGTGTTTGCTATCTGATTCAATGTGAAACTCATTTTACCCATAATAATTGAATAAAGCCCATTATAATTTCTAATATGAAAGATATATTTACCCTTAGGTCATATAATGTTGTATTTTATTTTTATATATTGTTAAGGTCTCACATCATGTCTTTATAAATATATTTTTGTGCATACTGTTTCTGATATCTAGGAAATTATAATTTTGTTTTGTTTTTGTAACTATAACTTTATACCCTAGTCTTCTCTTTCTCCCAACAATTTCTATTTTATTCCAAAAGCAATGATACAATTTGGAGTATTTCCTTTTCCTTTTCCTTCTCTTTCCTCTCCTCTACTACCTTAGTCAATTATTTATTTCTCCTTGTGCTTACTACTATTACAAATGTTTTCTCATTTCATAATTTATTAATTTTTAAAAATTGATTAAACATCCAGCTGTTAAAAATTAGATAATCAAAGAATTTACTATCTCTCCCTACTTCTCCCTGTCCCTTTCTGAGTGATTTTTATCATTTGTACATTTTTTAGATCATTTAACACTTACACGCTTTTCTGTCACCCTAGCCTTTATGTTAGTCCAATTCTACCATTAGATTAATTCAATTGCCACCAACAATCATCTCCTGGAAGGATGGAAACTACATTGCTGGAGTTTTTGTGTGTTCAAGAATGTTCGTCCATTCAATTATACTTGAAAAAATATTTACCTGTTTATATGATCCACAAGAAAAGTAATTTTCCTATCTATCAATTTTTTTAAACGGGTTGTTAAAATATGTTTTGATTGGTGTGCTTTGTGAGATATCTTCCCACTGGTGGTGGTTGTCAGTCAAGACATTCTGCCAATTCCCTTTGTCACACAAACCAGATCTCAACTGCTATAGTAACCCCATTTTCTTATGTAGGTTCTTTAACATAGAGAATTAATTAGCAAACTTGCTGCAAGACCAGATTAAGAAAAATACATTTTGATAAACTTTATTATATAAATGTAAACTCATCATCTGTAATGGATTCATTTTCCTATGAGTACATCTTTCAAAAAATAGAATATTTTGTTTATGTTGCTAGATAATCAGTTTCTAATAAATAGAGACATTAAGAACTGGAGTTACAAAGTGAAAATTTGCTGAAGCTAGTTCAAAAGTCAATTGAAAATGCATGACATCATTTAGCATTCTTACATCTAATACAGTATTTCACATAATACAAAGACACATGGAATTCTGCTGATCGTCATATTGGAGTAACTGATACTAGACGTGCCCTCTCACTGTAAACAAAGGAAACCGAAATACATACGTGGAAAACTTTTTTTACACATTGCCAACAAGCGTATAATACCCAAAAGAAGCAAACTGGATGAGTTGGGCCTACAGCTGCCCCGGATTTCTGCCTGAACAAACCTTCCAGGTGATAGTTCAGAGAAAGAAATCTAAGCTATAAGCCAGTGGCTCCACTGGTTGAGAAGATAGAGGCTGGACTTCAGGGAGAAGGCCATGTGTGAGACTACGAAGGCCAAGTACTAGAGGGGAAGAGGTACACAGAAAAGGAGCACACAGCAGGACTCCTTTGCATCTGCTGCTGAACTCTAAGCTGTGCAGGTAGCAGGGGAATCTCCATGAAGCTGGGCAAAGAACTACTAGGGAGCTGAAAGATAAACATTTCTGGAGCCCACAGTGGTCCAGGAGATATTATGTTTCCATCCTGGCAGAACTGGGAGATATTATTGAAAAACTGGGGCACAGGTAGGGAAAGATGACTAACTTAGTAGTAGCTAAGAAGAAAGATGGTTCTAGAATAATGACTAGACTTTCTGGGAGAAAGAAAGGAAGGAAGAAAGAGAGGGAGCAAAAAATGAAGGAAGAAAGAATGAACAAAAAGCCTCAGTAAGCTCAATAGGACCAATCTAATCTTCAGGTTACTTCATTGCAGTTGAACCAAACCTAAACTCTTTTTAAATTAAGACAACAGAATTCAGACACTCAATAGTGTAACATTCAAAGTGTCCAGTGTCAATTTAAAAAATGGCCATCAAGAGAACAGAATTATTATGTTACTGAAAGCAATTACCAAAAATAATTTGAGACGAATATCCATCATGAGTGTAAATACAAAGCATCCCTGAGAAAATATTAACGTATTGAATCCAGCAATATAAAAAACAATATTACATCACCTCCAATTAAGATTCACCTCAAGAATGCATGCCTGGCTTAATATTTCAAAATCAACTGCAATGCTTTTGCTTTAAGACTGGAAAGAAAACGGGATCTACTCTCACCACTTCTATTTAGCATTATACTGGAATTCTCAGCAAGTGCAATGAGGCAATTTTAAAAAATAGGTATACACATTTGAGAGGAATAGCGTGTTTATCTTTGTTCCCAAATTATATAATTATTAACCTAGATAATTTTGAGAATCCTAGAGCAAAACTAATATAACTAATTTCTTAAGTATAATGTCATCCTGTGAGATATGTGTAGATGTACTTGATCGGTTTGAAGAAATTCTCTTCCATTTGTACTTTTCTGATTGTTTTAAAAAATAAATAGGTTTTGAATCTTTAAAAAGATGTTTATAGACATATTAAAAGCATCATGTAACTTTTCTTCTGTATTCTGACAATATGGTAATTACAATGACTAATTTCCAAAAGTTAAACGCCACTACGAATGAATCTCACTGTGGATGAATCTCAAAAACATTATGCTGAATGAAAGAACTCAGATATGAAGAGTCTGTACTGGATAGTTGTATTTATATGAAATCCTATAAAAGACAAAACTAATTTATATTGGTAGAAAGCAGATTAATGATTGTGTGGGGCTGAGGATGGTGGTGAACTTGACTGTAAAGATAGGGAATGTTTTGAAGTAATGGAAATGTTCTGTATTTTTATTTTGATGTTTACCTGAATGTATATTAAAACTTTTTAAACTGTACACATAAAATGGATATATTGTATTACATTTAAATTATACTTTAATAAATTATATTAAATTACACACAAAATACAAATATATGCATAGCAAAAACATGGCAAAATAATAAACAGGTAATTTCTTTTATACGGTTATGTTTAATTTGCTTCTCCTTTTTTCTGCAACTGGATTTAATGATAAAGGTAAGTATTATTAGTCTTTATTCTACAAACAGGCTTATTTTATCTTCCTTACTGGGAAGTGAGTGCAGCAAAATTCATGTAATATTCTATAAGAATATACTTTCTTTTAGAGTTAGACACTTTCTAACAGAGGACTATTAAACTTCAGTAAAACCTGACATTCCTCCTGAACACATACTTGATTTCTCTCTTTCGGTCACCTTATCTATCATCTAAATATTTGGGACTGTCGCTTCTTTCCAGACCTAACTTCAGTAAAGTTAGAACCTTCTGATTCTTTCCCCTTTCTCCAGCCTTGGCACCTTATCAGATCCCTGTTCCTTCCTCCAGGCTGCAGTCACAGTGACCTCTGAGAATCACAGATCTCAGGAGCTGGCTTAAAATTATTCCTAAGTAACCATTCAATGGGCCAAGCCCAGATTTCATATTAAAGTTTTATAAGATTCTATATGATCTTGCCCAACCTTGCTTCCTTCCTACATACAAACCTATTGAACATCTTTCTCTCTCCATTCTTTTCTAACTTCCTATCCACTCTACCACCATCCTGCTTCACCAGAGTGTGGCACGCTTTCTCCTCCCTTTGGGTCATACGTAAATGCTGTTAATTATTACATGGCATGTGCTCTTTCTCCTTCCTTATCAGTTTTTAATTTTTTATTGCTGTTGTTCTCTTTATCCTGGCTAATTCCTATTCAATATCCAAGATACACCCCAGCAATGACCTTCTCTTGAAAGATGAATTCTAGAAAGGTGGACTTGAGGACCCTTTCATGGGCCATGTATATTAACAATCCTAGCATTCAGTTCACTGGATTTTGATTTTCTTTTCTTACCTGCTGCTATTTTGGAGAAATTGCCGACTCCCTTCAGTGGGTTAGGTCTAATTTTAGTTATTTGTAATGAAGGATGAGACAAAATTCTGGACCATGGAGAGGTGGAAACTTGTCAAAGAGCTTTTCTGCCGTTGATTTATTTATTAACTACTCTGAGTGAGAAGAAATAGTATTTAAGGCGAATCTCATAAGTTTTAGCCATTTGTCAGTGAGAAATTTTAAGTCTAAGCAAGCAATTTTGGGCTCTCCACCTTTTTTTAAAGGTTAGAGTGACATAGGAGTATGACAAAGTGAGTAATTCAAAAGAGGATGAAGAAATTCACCCTTCTCAATACCTTCTCCAGGGCAGAATGACTAATAGTGGTATAATCTAGCCATAATTCTATTACCTCATTTGAGGCATGCTTAACAAATAAGAACTGGTATTTAGTGGCAACATTAAAACAGAGCAAAGGAGTAGTTTTTGGATAAAAGGTGTTACAACAGAAACTTTGGTATATATAGCATGGTGTATTTTTTGCAATATTTGTTACTTATGATTTTTGTGATGTTCGCACAGATTACTGTGACTAACTTAATAATTAATAATCATAGTTTGTAATTTTATTTTTACATGGGGCAGAGGACACATTTTTTTGTCTGGCAATTTTGGGCGGCATTTTCTGTCCCATAAATAGGATTGTATCACGGGCCACCTCCATTCCTCTATGCCCAGGCTGTGAGCATCTTGAAGGCAGGAACTGTATAAATACTTCTTTAGTCAAGGTAATAGCACAGACCTTACATGAGGTAAATGTTCAATATGTATTTGTTGAATAAATGAATGAATGAAGGGTACCTTTCTTTTCCCCCTTGTCGAGGCCACCTACTGGTGTGGCTGGTAGATGGCAGAACAACATTTCAGCACTTCTGACATCTTGTTCTTGTCTATGCTAAGATAAACTATCCATGGGCTGGGTGACAGTATCTTTGGAAAGCTGATTAATCTATTCTTGACCTTGAACTCTTTCTCTTAGCAGGTTTGACAGGCTATTTTCTACAAAAGAAAATAACACACAAGTTCTTAAGGAACTGCACCTGGGTGGTATCTGCAAGACAAAGGCAGCTCCCAGTGAATCCTCTCTCCTCAGACGGTGTAACCAGAAGCTCCTGTAATAAAAGAACATATAAAGTAAATTTGAATGGGGTAGTAGAGATAAAAGGGCAAGGATGTGAGCTGAACTTGTGTTTTTAGCAACTTGCAATGCTTGCTGCTAATTAAACAAAAGTCCCTACTTGAACAATCAAGTAGGAAATGTGATTAATGGAAGGCAGTATGAAACTGGAAGCACCCAGTTTCTCTTTCTGGGCTAGTTTGGATTTTCTGATCCCCGAACAACATCTGGGAGAAGGCCCAGCATTCTAAATATTTTTGCATATTGATTAGTTCAACAAATAACTGAAGGCCAGATATGTGCTAGGAAGTCTTCTGGATGCTGAGGGTAGAGCAGTGAACAACACATGGTTTATATTCCAAAGCTTATCTGACTCAGGTTTTCTCCTACAATGCTCCTACCTACCAGCTAAAGAATTGAGATTTTAAACTACTAATAATATATTTGTTTTTCTGCTTAGATTTTCTGGTCCTTGGAAAAATGCTATATTTGGGGAAAACTGCTTTCTAGGACGCTGGACATAGTGATTGGTAATGTCTGCACACTTACTCTGACTGTTCCCCCTGGGTAAGAAGGTAGCCCCGCCCATAGTGAAGATGTATCCCCTGAAGCATGCTGTATTAGTCCGTTATCACACTGCTATAAAGAACTGCCAGAGACTGGGTAATTTAGAAAGGAAAGAGGTTTTAATTGACTCACTGTTCCGCATGGCTGGGGAGGCCTCAGGAAACTTACAATCCTGGCGAAAAGCAAAGAGGAAGCAAGGCACTTCCTTTACAAGGCGGCAGGAGGGAAAATGAAGGCAAGAGGAACTACCAAACACTTTAAAACCATCAGATCTCGTGAGAACTCACTCACTATCACGAGAACAGCACGGGGAAAACCACCCCCATGATTCAATTACCTATACCTGGTCTCTTCCTTTACACCTGGGGATTATATGGATTACAATTCAAGATGAGATTTTGGGTGGGGACACAGCCAAACCATATCACACATATTGTGCTAGTTTTTCCAGATAATGGTAGAAGTCTAAATGGACTGTAGGGCAACACAAAATCAAGCTCCAGACCTGGCCAGGCGCAGAGAGACTCACCTGAGCAGGGCAAAGCCATGTGCACTGAGACCTGTGGCATCTAATTCTTTTCTGGGGGCCACCTCTGTGTGTCCCTGGCACTTACAGTGTGCACATGTGTGTGGCCGCTATCTGGCCATCCATATAATTCACTGTGCCTAAAACACTGCAAATAGTCAACTCGTGTTAATTTCTCTTCTTTGTTTTTGAAGGAGAATATATTTTCTGTATCTTTAGTTTCTTTAACTCAACACATATTTACTGCTTATTTACAACCTGTGTAGTGTGAAGGGTTGGGAATGCTGTATTTTCTGGGGAAGGACTGGGCTCTTAGAATACAGACAAGGGAGGGGTCTTTGTACTGTAATTCCTTGTCCTTAATTTTCTAAGTGAATGGATAAGAGGAAAAGGAAAAATCTGTTCAGTGAGACCTGGCTTTATTTTGGTTGGTGTGTCTCCATTGTGCCATCTGACTTTGACAATGACAGTTAAAGGTACCTATCTTCCTATGAACTTGTATCATCTATTCTTCATCATCACTGGTATCATCACAATGAGAAAAAAATAAGGTCTAGAGGAGATGTCTGTCAATCAGTTTTCAAGTTCATCTCTGTTGTAGCAGTGAGCAGACCTTCTCTTCCTGTCAATCGCCTTTTGTAACCTGAAGAAAAGGGAAAGTTACTGACTGACACCAAGGAGAATTTCTTTACATTCCATTCTCAGTATCCAAGGGACTCTGGGATTTGAGACCATAAAATTAGTGTCAATTTGAGGCCTTTCTGAGAGAAGAAGGAAAAAAAATGGAGATTACCTGAATTCATCTTCCACGGGGCCCATTGCTAACATCCAATCATAGCGGCTGTCAGTCACAGAGAAGGGCATATATTTCAATGACTGGGTATCTCTTTAATTATAGAAATGAATAATCGGGCTCCCCCAGCTCTCTTCTTAACAGCTACAGCCCATGAAATGAAAGGTTTGAACTTGAAGGATCAACACAAACAGAATTTGCAGCAATTTCTATTACTGGTTTCTTTTCTTATTGTCTGAACACAGTATTTCCTTACTGACAGAGGAAATGAATGAGGTCTGGAAACGTTTTTTCTAAGCTTCAGTGGTATTTAACGGCATTCCCTTCACCTTCTCAGGCTTTGTGGTTGTGAACAGCATCAGAAATTGATGATCTTTTCTTTAAAGATACAAATTGCTTTAAAAATCTTCTCCAAACTGTAAAAAAGTAGAGAACATTTAAGTTTTTGAGTTATCATAGAATTAGCAAACATTGTTATCATACTCACTTTGAATCAAATAAATATTTTTCATCCTATTGTTGATGATTCCTACATTATTTAGTGGTAATTTTGGGGAGACATATATCCAGAATAGTTAAGATTGAAAGAAATTGATTTTCATACTTTGTATTCTTTAGTTTTTCCCTGGGGAGTATAAAGAGGTTAATCCAGTGTTTTACACTTAAAAATTACTCTGTTGGCCCCGGGCGCAGTGGTTCACGCGTGTAATCCCAGCACTTTGGGAGGGCAAGGCGGGCAGATCACTTGAGGTCAGGGGTTCAAGACCAGCCTGGCCAACATGGTGAAACTCTGTCTCTACTAAAAACACAAAAATTAGCCGGGCGTTTTGGCGGGCGCCTGTAATCCCAGCTACTCGTGCGGCTGAGGCAGGAGAATTGCTTGAACCTGGGAGGCAGACGTTGCAGTGAGCTGAGATCATGCCACTGCACTGCAGCCTGGGAGACAGAATGAGAGTCAGTCTCAAAAAAATATATTACTCTGTTACTGTCATGATGACTTTTCTGCTATGATAGCATTGCTCCAGTTAGTAATTTACTGAGCACCTACTATGCACAACAGTGTGAAGAATATGAGAGTTGATCATGCTTTACCTAAAGAAATTAGTGGCCAGTATGAAAATAAATACAATGAAACATTTATAAAAGTAATGAGTATACTGAGAGGGACAGAGATAAAGCCCTTTGGAAGTTTAGAAGCCTGAGAAATAAATGCCTCTGGATAAAATCATGGAAGACTTCCTGGGCGCAAATTGGCATTTATACAGGCTCTTTGGATGTTAAGTACAATTTCACAAGTAAATAATCAGTGAAGGAAAAGTGGAGTGAGAAAAAAGTGTTACAGTGAAACAAGATGTATAAATTGTACAAGATGTGTAAATTGTATAAGAATGACAGTAAAAGTATTCACCAACAGAGATCCAGCATGTATTGTCAGAGCTTTTAATTTCAGGATAAGTAGTTGGTGGAACTTTTGGTTTATTTTATTTATATTTAACTTTTATTTTCACTTCAGGGCTACATGTGCACGTTTGTTATATAAGTAAATTTCATGTCGTGGGAGTTTGTTATACAGATTATTTCGTCACATAGGTAAGGCATAGTACCTGATAAGTAGGTTTTTGATCCTCACCCTCCTCAAACCCTCCTCTCTCAAGTAGACTCTGGTTTCTGTTGTTCCCTTTATTGTACTCAGGTGTACTCAATGTTTAACTCCCACTTATAAGTGAGAAAAAGTAGTATTTGATTTCTGTTCCTGTCTTAGTTCACTTAGGATAATGGCCTCCAGCTCCATCCATGTTGCTGCAAAGGACATGATCTCATTCTTTTTTATGGCTGCATAGTATTCCATGGTGTATATGTACCACATTTTCTTTATCCAAAAATGATAGATGCTGGTGAGGTTGCACAGAAAAGGAATGCTTATACACTGCTGGTAGGAATGTAAATCAGTTCAGCCACTGTAAAAAGCAGTTTGTTGATTTCTCAAAATCTTAAGATAGAACTACCATTCAACCCAGCAATCCATTATGGTATATATTCCCCCAAAAACATAAATCATTCTACCATAAAGAGACATACAAGCATTTATTCACTGCTGCACTACTCACAATAGCAAAGACATGAAATCAACCTAAATGCCCATTGACTTTTGTTGTCTTAGGTAAACAGAATCCATGAATTGTTTGGGAACAATGAAAGGATATGATTAAAATACTTTCAGAAGATTAATTTGATTATTATTCTCATGCTTTTAGAAGAGTTCAATTTGCTGTCAGCTTTCCGGCATGGAAATTTCTACTAAGATATACTTATGTAATATTATTAACATATTATAATATGCAAATATAATATTATAATATATTATATTAAATATGTAATATTATTAATGTAATAGTAAGTTATTATACTATATTATAGTTATATATTATAATATACATATTTCCTGTCTGCAAGTTTGGAGAATATTAAAGAAATACTCAAGAAATAACTTCCAGTAGTAGTATAAAAACATCGTCTAATAAAATTCAAGTGTGTGTGTGTGTGTGTGTGTGTGTATTTTTTTCTTTCTATTTTCACACTTTGTCAGTTCAAATATCAGGGCACTTTGTCTATGAAGAATCAGGAAACATTTAAATAGTATATGTAAGAGAGAAATAGCTTCAGAATGTAAACTAACAAAAAATATTTATGTTAAGCTACCTTATCTAAACATTTTACAAAATTTTCTCTAAGCTTTTGAAAAATCTAATAGGAATTTAGAAAATAGCATTGTGAGGACTTGCATTTTTTTTTTTTTTTTTTTTGAGACGGAGTCTCGCTCTGTAGCCCAGGCTGGAGTGCAGTAGCGTGATCTCGGCTCACTGAAAGCTCCGCCTCCCGGGTTCATGCCATTCTCCTGCCTCAGCCTCCCGAGTAGCTGGGGATACAGGCGCCCACCACCACGCCCAGCTAATTTTTTGTGTTTTTAGTAGACATGGGGTTTCACCATGTTAGCCGGGATGGTCTCGATCTCCTGACCTCGTGATCCGCCCGCCTCGGCCTCCCAAAGTGCTGGGATTACAGGCGTGAGCCACCGTGCCCGGCGGTACATTGTTTTATTAAAGCACAAAAACCCATATCAAGCACTAGACTGAAGGAGATCCTTGTTTCTACTGCAGAGCTAAAATCTCATTCACACATTATTAAATTACCTAAATCATATCTATAAAGTTGAATACCCCGTTTTGTATGTAAACAAATGCAATTGAGAATTGGAAAAGATACTGATTTTATGGGGCACTGATTACATTACTCAGCACCCTTTCCTAACACTAAAATCCAGGATATTCTAAGTCCAATCAATATTAATATTACATAATAATGACTGATCTTTTTGGTGAGTAAAGCCTTTTCATACTAATAATCTCAGGCTTTCCTGATGAATCAAGACTTTTTTGGCTTGAAACGTTGCATTAAAAATCTGTAGATAACTTTAGACTGACTTACTTCTATTAATAGTGTCAGGTGAACTTTTAAAAGTCACTGTTTGCAATAGATTGACCAAAGAGGGTAGGAAACATTTATTCAGCTCTTAAACACTTTATTTTATTACAGGCTTTTTTTTTTCCTTAGCTAAGTAACTGATTTCAAGGAACATAAATATTTCATATGCAAATACCTCCCAAAATGGGCATCTTAGGTAATTTAGAGAAGCTAGAAGGAAATGCATGCTAAACATTTTATTATATTTTAGCAAATTTCTGAAGTAATTAGGGTAGAGTATTAGAATGCACATCCCTAAAAATACGTTTATTCTTTTTAATTATAGGTATTTGGAATTTATGTCCACACTGTGTGTAGTTATATTCCATTAAATGCTAAGACGATAATGTGCAAAGCTTCCAGAATTTGGAGGGATTAGGTAGAGACTGTCGATTCAAGCAATTTGATCTAAATTCTAAAAGATTAAAAAGTTGAAATTGTCAGAAAGGCTAATGTTTTCATTGTGATATGGTTACTCTCTGGCATGGAAGATATATCTTTTATAGATTATAAAAATACTCCAAAAAAATTCTGTTAAAGTAATTAGAAAAAATTTCTCTGTCACTAGCGCTTTACATAAAAGAAAACAAACAAAAAATAAATCATGCATTGTTAAACATTATCTATACTTTCTCTGACATTATTTTATAGAATTTTGACCTATAAAATGAAAATTTTCAGGAAAATTTTAGAACCAGATAACAAGTTTAATTATGTATAAGTAAATTACAGCACACTAATTACTACCGAGATAAATCTATTTCTCAAATATATTACTTAAATCAGTATTTTTTCTGAGAAATGGACAAAGTACTTAAAAGAGATAAAAATAAAGCAGGAATCCTTTCTGTATTATAAATATAAGAAGAAAAATCATCAAGTACATTTCTTGTTTCCAATTTAGCTGAAGAAAGTATCAACGATTTAATTAATAGAGTAAATTAACCCCACAGACAATGGTCGGCAGTAGGATTGTGGGCATTTCTAGGCTTTTTTAAAAAAAGATTATTATACTTTAAGTTTTAGGGTACATGTGCACAAGGTGCAGGTTAGTTACATATGTATACATGTGACATGCTGGTGCGCTGCACCCACTAACTCGTCATCTAGCATTAAGTATATCTCCCAATGCTATCCCTCCCCCGTCCCCCCACCCCACAACAGTCCCCAGAGTGTGATGTTCCCCTTCCTGTGTCCATGTGTTCTCATTGTTCAGTTCCCACCTATGAGTGAGAATATGTGGTGTTTGGTTTTTTGTTCTTGCGATAGTTTACTGGGAATGATGATTTCCAATTTCATCCATGTCCCTACAAAGGACATGAACTCATCATTTTTTATGGCTGAATAGTATTCCATGGTGTATATGTGCCACATTTTCTTAATCCAGTCTATCATTTTTGGACATTTGGGTTGGTTCCAAGTCTTTGCTATTGTGAATAATGCCGCAATAAACATATGTGTGCATGTGTCTTTATAGCAGCATGATTTATAGTCCTTTGGGTATATACCCAGTAATGGGATGGCTGGGTCAATGGTATTTCTAGTTCTAGATCCCTGAGGAATCGCCACACTGACTTCCACAATGGTTGAACTAGTTTACAGTCCCACCAACAGCGTAAAAGTGTTCCATGTATACGTATGTAACTAACCTGCACATTGTGCACATGTACCCTAAATCTTAAAGTATAATAATAAATAAAATAAAATAAAATAAATAAAAAAATGAAATAAAAAATAAAAAGAAATTGATACCAGAAAGATAGGATTTCAGAAGCTCCCTAAAAGCCCCATACCTTGAAAAATACCTTACTTTAACCTGACAGTCTGAAATTCTACCCTGTGAGATTGGTTTCTTCTGTGTCTTTGTCCATTAAAATTACAATATAACTTACAAAAAAAGTCATATTAAATGAATACATGTTACGACTCTATTAGCATAGTTGGAGGTAAAGGAGATTTCTATTAAAGAATTAAAAAGATGAAACGATTTTGGGCCCTGACAATGAAATTAAGACTATTTGAAAGGATAACAGAAGTATATTGAGGGGAACCAAGGAGATCTTGTGGGTAGAAATGCTGTTGATTGTGTTTGTTGGGAGACATAATAAACTAAAATGTCTTCAGAGGCTATTACAATAATAATGTTTGATTTACAAGGGTATATGACTATAAGGAATGGTTACATGGGGCTGGAGAATACCTCCCCAACATCAAAGCAATAAAAATAGTTTCCTTAAATACTATGCTAATCAAACACAGTAAGTCAGGGCTGGATTTGCCCAAAAAAACCAAGAACTCTTGCCAGGATATTATCCTCAAACTTAATGTTCGAAGCAGCAGAGAGTTAAATGATATGAAAATTAAAACCCGTCTTCAATTTCGAGATATCATCCAAGTCCTCTGGAAATATTATGGGGACTGGCAGAATGGTGTAGTATTAAAGGGATCCAGCACCATAAGCTCTTACACAGTTGATTTAAACCCTCCAAGTCATGGTCTCCTCATCTGCAAAGTGGGGATAAAAGTAGTACCCAAATGAGGATTTAATGAGATCACTTATACAGAACCTAGTACAGAGTAACCACTCAAAAATTAGCTACTGCCACTTTATAGTTCTTGAAAAATGATATGTTTTAGATGACCTGTTAATTCTGGACAATCAGAACTTGACACAGACTTTTAAAAACTCTTTTCATTCTGAAAGTTATGCATTGTTAAAGCATCTAATCTGTAGTGAAATTCATTAGGAAGACAGTACATGGCAGGTCATCCAGGGCATTGATGCTAAGTATAATACAAGCCATCTCCTGGGCTCAAGACGTCCTTGAGTAGAGAAGATTCATGATTCTCATAGCTTCCTTCCTGCAGGCCAGTAGCTAGTTAAGTTGTGCTAGCTCACCAGGTATTTGTTTCATCAATGTTTCCTTTCAACAAGTAGAATGCTCTGTTTTATTCTAAAATGAAAATCCAGTATAATATACAGTATGTGTGGAAGTACAATCTCATAGAAAAAAAATTACTCCCAAATTATGAATCAGTAATTGTATGCATTTTCATGTTTTGTTAAGTGAAATAAACCAGGCATGGATGGATAAACTTTACATGTTCTTACTTATCTGTGGGAGCTAAAATTAAAACAATTGAACTCATGGAGATAGAGACTAGAATGATGGATATCAGAGGCTGAGAAGGGTAGTAGGGGTGTGAGGGGAAAGTGGGGATGGTTAATGAGTACAAAAAAAAATAGAAAGCATGAATAAGATCCAGTACTTGATAGCACAGCAGGGTGATTATAGTCAATAATAATTTAATTACACATTTTAAAATAACTAAAAGTGTATAATTGGAGTGTTTGTAATGCAAAGGATAAATGCTTGAGGTGATAGCCCATTTACCCTGATGTGATTGTTACACATTGTATGCCTGTATCACAATATCCCATATAATCCCAAAAATATATAAACCTACTATGTACCCACAAAAAAAGTTAAAAAGTAATGGGTTTATTTCTTTCTTCTACCATATACCATTGGTATATGCATGTGTGATCATTGTAATTCAGTGTAATTAGTATACGTAATCATTGCAATTCAGTGATGTAAACAAAAATAATTTCTTAGGTCCTGACCTATTTTTCCAGAAACAAAACTTCTAGATAAAAGTCTTTAATGTTTATTTATAGCATAATTGGTTTCACAATCTTCTACAAGGCTTAGGGTTCACAGAATCAGCTTTCCTTTGTGTTCCCATTGTCGGGTAGAATGAGATCCACAGGCTTCAGAGGAAATCATATCTCAGAGGATTTGCAAGAATATGTAAAGCTTTAATTTTTTTCAGATATAAGATGTAATATGTTAAAGTTTGCCTTAGATTGAAATTGGGTCAGCTTACCTTTTGATTAAATAGAGGAACTTTCTGAAAGAGAGTCTTGTTGGGACAGTTTTTCTCTATTAAAGTTTATTCACTCACTCATTCACTCATTGATTTACTCAATAAATATTTATATAACTGCTCTAAGGCAGACCCTACTCAACATAGGGACTGGGAATTTGTTAACAATATATAGCCTCAATCCTCAGAGAGTCTAGCCAATTGAGAATGTCTGAGGAAAAAAAGGTATACAATTGTAATTGCTTGATACGTGCTCTCAGACAGATGTA